>NC_000014.9:37490500-37793531 GCF_000001405.40 Homo sapiens | reverse complement strand
CATTGTCAGCAGAGTAAGGACTCTGAATGGGACTCTAGTCACACTGGGTCCTGAGATGTAGATAATGGAGGCAGAGCCTCCAGGCAGTCCTCTGTGGACATACAGTGTGAGCAAGGAATAAACCTTTGTTTTAATACAGTAATTTTGAAGGTTTGGTTTTTGGGTTTTTTGTTTTTTTGTTTTTTTACCTCAGTATAGCCTAGCTTATCCTGGCTGAAACCAGCATAGACAGGAGACAAAGGTAGAAAGGCAATTAGAAGCTAGCTCCTGTGGGGTCTTGCAGACCTTTGGCTTTTGTAGAATTTAGCTTTTATTCTAAACACAAGCGAAGCTATTGAAGGGCTTGAGCAAAGAAGTGAAATAATCTGACATGTTTTGGCAAGATCACTGTGGCTGCTATTTGAAAATCCATCCTGGTGAGAAACCAGTATTTGGACAGGGCAGTTAGAGGTGAAGTGGTATAAATGGGTGTCTACTTTGAAGGGTAGAGACAAGAGTTAACAGCGTTATCTCTGAAAATCAGATCTGGCTGGAATTGGAGAGGATTTTTCCTATTTATTGTGCTGTTTTAATTTGTCACGGCAGGGGCATATAACATTTATTTTTAATGTGAACAACTTATAAAACTTAAACAAAATTAAAAGTAAGTATGAATGGTCAGTATCCCATTCTATGGTTGGATCCCATTGTATGAACCTACTTACTCACCTGTACACACACACACACACACACACACACACACACACACACACACAACATTGGACCATAGACTCAAATTGTTAATAGCAGCTATCCCTAGAGAATAAAATTATAGATAATAGTTTTTAGTTTATTCCTATCGCATGCATATATTACCTGCAATAAGTATATAATGCTTTTGTAATTAAGAAAAAAAAAGGTATTATTTTCAAAAGTGAAAGACATAAAAATGCACACCTTGAAAGTAGAGGCTTTATAAATGAGTAATTAGAGTTAACTACCAGCTTAACACATTGTTTATAAATGCATTAGCCCCTACAATTAGCTAAAATATGTATATATATTAAAATTATGTTGAACAAATATCCAGAAAATTAAAGTTTTTTTAAAAAAATCAAGGTTCTCGAGCCTTAAATACCTTAAAATAGGTTTCCGCCCGACAAAGATAGCTTTGAATACATAAAGGATCAATTCTAATAGCCTCAGAAAATTGCCAAATAGCTTCCGTGTAGTTATCCAGGTGTAGCAGATGTATGAGGCCAATATTTACATAAGCCAAAGTAATAGTTCTAAAAAAAAATGAGAAAGTGAAATCTTGTTAAACATTTTTAATTATTCCAAATGTTCTCCAATTAGGAATAAACTGAATGAAACAGATGCATCAGTATTCATCAGAGTATTTTTTAATGTTTTACAAAGGAAAGTAAATTAGTTAGCTGCTCTCTATGAAAAACTATAAACACCTTTATGAAACCCTTAGTAAGGAATTAATGTTTTTAAGGTCTGCGCTAGGAACAGAATTCCTGAAGTCTCCTAGACTTTTAGCAAAACTTTACTCTTCTTTGATTTACCTTTCCGTTATCTTGAGTCACAAGCTTAGTTTTTCTCAACTAAAGAGTCTTTACCTCAGGCTATGTTCTATTGGCCACGAGTGACAGTGAGAAACAGTCATATTCAAGGGTTTGGTGGCTTGGGGTTAAAATCCTCTCCACGTACATATTAACACAGCTTTTCTGTATCAAATAAATGTTATTTATCTCTCTTAAAATCAACTGATTTTCAGTAGAGAAATAACCTTAGAAATTATCATGTTTGATGCCTCTATTTCAAAATGAAAACCACCCATCCAATAATCCAACCTCACAGAATCCCTGACCCCTTGCCTAGACACCAAAGTTCCTACTTCCTGTTTTCTGTCTCTTTGAAACTGACACTCTTTTCTTTTTCTTTCTGGCTCAAAAATGTCCAAAAGAAAACCACTGTGGTCATTATGGGAGCCATGCTCCATGAATTTCCTGTGTCAAGTTCAAAGTTTACCTTGGATAGATTAAGTAAACAGTCTGCTGGTTGGCAAGGAATTGGCATGATTAGTTACTCTTTCTGACACCTTCCCTTTTCATAAATCCTTCTTTGGAAAAAAAGGGGAATTTTTAATTAAATTCTGTGATTTACAGTTTGACTTTCTGACTAGTGCATTTAACTTTCAGTCTATATTTCTCCCTGAACATATGGTCTACATGGTATTAGTGTTTTTATTTTGCTTTACTAAACAAAATGAAGCCAGAAGTTCTAAATAGAAGGCTGCCTTCCATTGAGTTGTATCCTGTCCATAGCAATCATACACCAAGCAGAATGTTTTTTCATTATTTTAAAACTTAATGACAGTTTTCCATGAAGTTAATTTCAAAAAGCTCTAGCCTGGGCATCTCCAAAATCCTCAATAGTATTGATTCCTTATCCATAGATTTAACTCCTGTCAAACCCATTTAACTTCTAAAATTTGCAAAAACACCCAAGGCAAACAGATGTTGAGAACAGGTTTTATTTTTGAAGTAATCTTGTTTTTAGAAGTAGTATTCTAATTCTAGGATGACTTTATAAGTGTCTCATTTTTTCTAGGTTATCAATGATGAGGGGAAAGAAACTTTTTCTCCCATTTCAGGTTTTCGATTTTTTACAAAACTGAAATCAATAAATATGAAAAGGAAAACATACCTTTCTAGAGAAATGACAGTTTCAAAGTCACAAATTGCCAGCAGCCAAAGTTTTAGATGTGCATAGACTATTCCCCGATGTAGAAAACAACCAAGATTCTCATAGCCATCATTTATGAGTGCTTAAAAAGTTTAAAAAAATGTATTTCATTCAGGTTCTAAAATAACCATAGGTAAATTATACTTTAGTCTGTAAACTTCCTATTGCTTATTCTCATTTTTTAACATTATATAAAATAGAAACATATCTATGATGAGTGTACTTGTTTGGTAAGTTAAATAATAGTATTGTACATTAAAATGTATTTATTAGTAACAATGTGGCAATTGTGGTTCACAAACTCATTAGAGCTGAATTAAATCCTGATTGGAATCTAGCATAGTCCACTCACCGTATAGGTGAGGAGATTAAAGTCCAAAGGGGGTAAGTACATTGACCATGGTCATGATATACCAGTCAATGGCAAAGACTGGCCTAGAATCCAACTCCAGTCAGAAGGGTGCCATGACCCTTGATGGCCTGATTTTATCAGGAAGCCATCGTTACTGGCCAAGGAACAGGCTTGAGTACTAGTCCTGAAGGCAGAAAGCAGAGGTCAGGCTCACACACAAACCGGGATGGACAAGCAAAGAGGCTACACCAAGGCAAACAGAGCTTGGAGGTAAGGCGGACGGCTTGACTATGCACATCCCAAATGACAGCTATCCGAGATGCGAGATGCACATCCCTAATAATGGAAGGGAGAAAAAGAACCTCCTCTCAGTAATCCAGGTGTGTGACTCTCATCAGTAACCTGTCTAGAGGTCATCTCATGTCTCTCGCCTACTGATTGCCCCTTCACTTTCAAAACATGTTAGTGAATTAGATGGGGTTTCCACAAGTTTTGACAGATATCTTTAAAGCTTCTCATGACATTCTGCCTTAAGGTGCAAAGTTTTGTCAAAATATGCATAATGTTTGCAGTCTAGGACAAAAATATTCACGGTACTGGATTTAGGGAACTATAGCCAGTGTCAGCAATGATCATACACATTAAGGAAGTACAGTCATGCACCACTTAACAGTAGGGATATGTTCTGAGAAATGCATTATTAGGGGATTTCTTTATTGTGCAAAGATCATAGAGTGTACTTTCACAAACCTAGATGGTATATATTTTTATATATATACATATATACAGAATATAGAATATATTATAGAATATACATAGAGTATATACAATATATATATATATATATATAAGAGGAAACCAAATGTCCCAACACCATTAATGAATATCAATCGTTTCCCCTACTTGATCCACAATGCGAATGTCAAGTGCCATATATCAGGTTTAACCATAGTATATACAGTCCGTTTTTGACCGAAACATCATTATGTGGCGCATGACTGTTATCACTTGAAGAAAATCTAACTGCTCAGTTCACAGTATGATTGGCTAGCAATTAAAAAATCAGCTGCAGTTTGGGTGGCTGCTCTTAACAAACAATAAAAAAACTCTTCTTAAGGAAAAAGGAAAAAAAATATTATTTAACCTCTCTGTGCTATGGCTTTCTCATCAGTAAAATGTGAATGAAAATAGTACCGAGCTCCTAGCATTACTCTGAATATTGAGACACTTCTTATTTGGCACTTTAAACAGCACTTTGCAAGTAGCAAAATGCCCAATAAATGTTAGATATCATTATTATTATTATTAGCTTAGCAAAATATCTTGAGAGTCCTTTTTTGTTGCAGGTGATAAAACTCCTTGGGCTGTCTGGTAGGAAAGGATGGAGGCTGAAATCAAGTTTGTCTGCTCTGGATAATTAAATAATAGGAATTTTGTTCAATTATTGTGATAGCCTAGAAGTGGGGAGAGGAGGGCATGAGAAGCCCAAAACTTGTATAAGAGGGAAATATGAGAAAGAGGCCTTTAGAGGAAGATCAGAGAGAAAGGGATGTGGCCAGTGGCAGATGGATAGGGCTGATAGAGCCAGATAAACTTCTAGAAATGGGGGTGGTTTGATCTTCAAATTTAAGTTATCTGTGCTAAATTTATCCTCTGAACCCTAAAGCATTCAGTAACAGATTAGTAGACATAACAGGTTTGTGTTGATGTTACACTGGGGAATGAAGGACAGACCTGGGAAAAAGCAAAGCCGAGAGAACAGTAGCCACAGAAGTGAGGGTGGGCAAAGATGGGAAATCCAGCCAAAAGCTGAAATTGGACTCAAAGATGACGAAAGAATTAGACAGAAATCCTCAGTCCCCTTTCCCAAGAATCACTGGAAATAGAGGGGAGGACACTAGACTCCTGTCAACACACAGAATGAAATTTGAGTTATTTTATTTTAATATTAATTAGAAGGGTGACCTCAGAAGGCAAATGGACTTAAGACAATCAAGTAACTATCACCTTAGCTCTTCTTCCCTGTGGAAATCTAGTTGTCTCTTCATCTCTAGACACTGTCTAATCTAGGATGATGGGATTCCAGAACTTTGCACCCAGGTGAACACAGGCATATCTGGAGTGTTAGACTCAGGCTGGATTTCATCAGTCAGGATGGACTCATTCATTCTGTTGGAGGCTGTTTACTGAGCACTGACTCTATGCTCACAATTGTGCTGGGCACATGCATAAACCAGGAGTGTGCTGATTGAGAGTAACACAGAAATGGCCATTTTTAGCTGTTGGTGTCCTTAGCTACTAAGGATTCTCAAAACCTATTTTTAGTTTAGGGGTTAAAAACTCTGAATTTGACAAATCCCTTGGGCTGAGCCTATGGAGCAGGACACAGCCCACCAGGACAGTTTACTGCCATTTTAGCAAGCTGACTAGGAAACAGGACTGGGTTTGCAGAAAAATCTTCAGAACCCAGTATATTATAGAAAGAGATTCTTTGCTGTCACATTCTCCCCTTGCCACAGTTAACACACACACACACACACACACACACACACACACAGACACACACACACATAAAGGGCATATTAGAAACACTTATAGCTAAACCATTATAGCTATATATTCATATATTGTATACCTATATAAGAATATTAAAATGCGTAAGCTCATGTAATATATACTTATAATGTATATTAGTATATAGTAGTATACATATTACATTAGTGAACCCACATTACCATTCACCACTATGAAACTGAGCTGTTGAATCTCAGATTGGGTTGCTATATACATGTAATTGAAGGCAAAGTACCTGAAACACTATAATCCTGTAGCGCTCTAAAAGGGTTACTCTTTCTGAATAAGCAACCTCGATAATACAACGCTAACCAGTTATTAGGATCTAAGTGAATTGCAGCAGAAAAATCTTGAGTTGCTTCTTTATAAAATTTCCATTTAACATATGCAATCCCTCGGTATGTCCTAGGAAAAAAAAGTTTGTTTTAACAAGTACTGTAAAGTATACATTTTCTCTTTTTGGTAAACCTGTACAACTAATTTTATATTTGAATAACAATTTGTAAATGTTTCTCCTTGCTTCACAAGAGAGTTTAGTCATGATGTTAACAGCAAAAATGATACAAACTTTTTATAAATTGAAGTACACTTTATTGTATACATAATTATATGCTTATCAGGTACATTCTACATATTAATTATATGCTTACTAATTTTATTTCTTACATTTATCAAGGACGTATGTCAATAAAATAAGTATGACATTTATTATTTATTGATTCCCAAAAATGTATTAAGCACTAATTTATACAAAATTGCTTCCTAGAAAAGCAAAATAATCCATTTTGCAGAACATGGGCCCTAGTGAGTAGAAGTTTTAGGAGGTTTTTCTCTGGAGCTTGAAGATACATCCAAATACGTGAAAGTCTGCTCTTTCACGGATGAAAGCTATTGCATTAGTTGTGTAAACTGGATTCCTTTATCATTAACTTCTGACTCCAATTTTGAAATTATCACTGACTTAGATCAATGCCAAAAAACTCATCTTCAATTAGTTAATAATGTGAAGCATATCCATTTTTAGAAATAAAATAAAGATGACAAGGAAAAACAGAAGAAAGAAGCTACTAGGTTGCCTACTTAGAAGAAATAAAAATAGTGGGAGGTTCCAAGATGGTCAAATAGGAACAGCTCCAGTCTACAGCTCCCCGCGTGAGCGATGCAGAAGACGGGTGATTCCTGCATTTCCAACTGAGGTACCGGGTTCATCTCACTGGGGCTTGTCGGACAGTTGGTGCAGGACAGTGGGTGCAGCCCACGGACAGTGAGCCAAAGCAGGGCCAGGCACCGCCTCACCCGGGAAGTGCAAGGGGTCCGGGAATTCCCTTTCCTAGCCAAGGGAAGCCATGACAGATGGCACCTGGAAAATTGACTCACTCCAACCCTAATACTGCGCTTTTCCAACAGTCTTAGCAAATGGCATACCAGTAGATTATATCCCGCACCTGGCTTGGAGGGTCCCACGCCCACGGAGCCTTGCTCACTGCTAGCACAGCAGTCTGAGATCAAACTGCAAGGCAGCAACGAGGCTGGGTGAGGGGCGGCTGCCATTGCTGACACTTAAGTAGGTAAACAAAGCGGCTGGGAAACTCGAACTGGGTGGAGCCCACCACAGCTCAAGGAGGCCTGCCTGCCTCTGTAGACTCCACCTCTGTGGGCCGGGCATAGCTGAACAAAAGGCAGCAGAAACTTCTGCAGACTTAAACGTCCCTGTCTGACAGCTTTGAAGAGAGTAGTGGTTCTCCCAGCATGGAGTTTGAGATCTGAGAATGGACAGACTGCCACCTCAAGTGACTCCCTGACCCCCGAGTAGCCTAACTGGGAGGCACTTCCCACTAGGGGCCAACAGACGCCTCATACAGCCGGGTGCCCCTCTGAGACAAAGCTTCCAGAGGAACAATCAGGCAGCAACATTTGCCATTCTGCAACATGTGTGGTTCTGCAGCCTCCACTGGTGATACCCAGGCAAACAGCATCTGGAGTGGACCTCCAGCAAACTCCAACAGACCTGCAGCTGAGGGTCCTGACTGTTAGAAGGAAAACTAACAAACAGAAAGGACATCCACACCAAAACCTCATCTGTATGTCACCATCACCAAAGACCAAAGATAGATAAAACCAAAAATATGGGGATAAACCAGAGCAGAAAAGCTGAACATTCTAAAAATTAGAGCACCTCTTCTCCTCCAAAGGAACGCAGCTCCTCGCCAGCAACGGAACAAAGCTGGATGAGGAATGACTTCGACGAGTTGAGAGAAAAAGGCTTCAGACGATCGGTAAAAACAAACTTCTCTGAGCTAAAGGAGGATATTCAAACCCAAAGCAAAGCAGCTAAAAACCTTGAGAAAAGATTACACGAATGGCTAACTAGAATAAACAGCATAGAGAAGACCTTAAATGACCTGATGGAGTTCAAAACAATGGCACAAGAACTACGTGATGCATGCACAAGCTTCAGTAGCCAATTCAATCAACTGGAAGAAAGGGTATCAGTGATTGAAGATCAAATTAATGAAATGAAGTGAAAAGTTTAGAGAAAAAAGAGTAAAAAGAAATAAACAAAGCCTCCAAGAAATATGGGACTATGTGAAAAGACCAAATCTATGTCTGATTGGTGTACCTGAAAGTGATGGGGAGAATGAAACCAAGTTGGAAAACACTCTTCAGGATATTATCCAGGAGAACTTCCCCAACCTAGCAAGGCAGGCTACCATTCAAATTCAGGAAACACAGAGAATGTCACAAAGATACCCCTTGAGAAGAGCAACTCCAAGACACATAATTGTCAGATTCACCAAAGTTGAAATGAAGGAAAAAATCTTAAGTGCAGCCAAAGAGAAAGTTCAGGTTACCCACAAAGGGAAGCCCATCAGATTAACAGCTGATCTCTCAGCAGAAACTCTACAAGCCAGAAGAGAGTGGGGGCCAATATTCAACATTCTTAAAGAAAAGAATTTTCAACCCAGAATTTCATATCCAGCCAAACAAAGCTTCAAAGGTGAAGGAGAAATAAAATCCTTTACAGACAAGCAAATGCTGAGAGATTTTGTCACCACCAGGCCTGCCTTACAGGAGCTCCTGAAGGAAGCACTAAACATGGATATGAACAACCAGTACCAGCCACTGCAAAAACATGACAAATTGTAAAGACCATCGATGCTAGGAAAAAACTGCATCAACTAACAAGCAAAATAACCAGCTAACATCATAATGACAGGATCACATTCACATATAACAATATTAACCTTAAATGTAAATGGGCTAAATGCTCCAATTAAAAGACACAGACTGGCAAATTGGATAAGGAGTCAGGAGTCATCAGTGTGCTGTGTTCAGGAGACCCATCTCAACGTGCAGAGACACACATAGGCTCAAAATAAAGGGATGGAGGAAGATCTACCAAGCAAATGGAAAACAAAAAAAAGCAGGGGTTGTAATCCTGGTCTCTGATAAAACAGACTTTAAACCAACAAAGATCAAAAGACACAAGGAGGCCATTACATAATGGTAAACGGATCAATTCAACAAAAAGAGCTAACTATCCTAAATATATATGTACCCAATACAGGAGCACCCAGATTCATAAAGCAAGTCCTTAGAGACCTACAAAGAGACTTAGACTCCCACACAATAATAATGGGAGACTTTAACACCCCACTGTCAACATTAGACAGGTCCACAAGACAGAAAGTTAACAAGAATTGAACTCAGCTCTGCACCAAGCAGACCTAATAGACATCTACAGAACTCTCCACCCCAAATCAACAGAATATACATTCTTCTCAGCACCACATCGGACTTATTCCAAAATTGACCACACAGTTCGAAGTAAAGCATTCCTCAGCAAATGTAAAAGAACAGAAATTATAACAAACTGTCTCTCAGACCACAGTGCAATCAAACTAGAACTCAGGATTAAGAAACTCACTCAAAACTGCTCAACTACATGGAAGCTGAACAACCTGCTCCTGAATGACTACTGGGTAAATAACAAAATGAAGGCAGAAATAAAGATGTTCTTTGAAACCAGTGAGAACAAAGACACAAAATCCCAGAATCTCTGGGACACATTTCAAGCAGTGTGTAGAGGGAAATTTATAGCACTAAATGCCCATAAGAGAAAGCAGGAAAGATCTAAAATGGATATCCTAACATCACAAATAAAAGAACTAGAAAAGCAAGAGCAAACACATTCAAAAGCTAGCAGAAGGCAAGAAATAACTAAGATCAGAGCAGAACTCAGGGAGATAGAGACACAAAAAATCCTTCAAAAAATCAATGAATCCAGGAGCTATTTTTCTGAAAACATCAACAAAATTGATAGACCACTAGCAAGACTAATAAAGAAAAAAAGGAAGAAGAATCAAATAGATGCAATAAAAAATAATAAAGGGGATATCACCACCAATCCCACAGAGATACACACTACCATCAGAGAATACTATAAACATCTCTATGCAAATAAACTAGAAAATCTAGAAGAATTGGATAAATTCCTGGACACATACACCCTCCCAAGACTAAACCAGGAAGAAATTGAATCCCTGAATAGACCAATAACAGGCTCTGAAATTGAGGCAATAATTAAGAACCTACCAAACCAAAAAGAGTCTAGGACCAGACAGATTCACAGCCGAATTCTACCAGAGGTACAAAAAGGAGCTGGTACCCTTCCTTCTGAAACTATTCCAATCAATAGAAAAAGAGGGAATTCTCCCTAACTCATTTTATGAGGCCAGCATCATCCTCATACCAAAGCCTGGCAGAGACACAACAAAAAAAAGAGAATTTTAGACCAATATCCCTGATGAACATCGATGCAAAAGTCCTCAATAAAATACTGGCAAACCGAATCCAGCAGCACATCAAAAAGCTTATCCACCATGTTCAAGTGGGCTTCATCCCTGGGATGCAAGGCTGATTCAACATACACGAATCAATAAATGTAATCCAGCATATAAACAGAACCAAAGACAAAAACCACATGATTATCTCAATAGATGCAGAAAAGGCCTTTGACAAAATTCAACAGCCCTTCATGCTAAAAACGCTAAATAAATTAGATATTGATGGGACGTATCTCAAAATAATAAGAGCCATTTATGACAAACCCACAGCCAATATCATACTGAATGGGCAAAAACTGGAAACATTCCCTTTGAAAACTGGCACAAGACAGGGATGCCCTCTCTCATCACTCCTATTCAACATAGTGTTGGAAGTTCTGGCCAGGGCAATTAGGCAGGAGAAAGAAATAAAGGGTATTCAATTAGGAAAAGAGGAAGTCAAATTGTCCCTGTTTGCAGATGACATGATTGTATATTCAGAAAACCCCATCGTCTCAGCCCAAAATCTCCTTAAGCTGATAAGCAACTTCAGCAAAGTCTCAGGATACAAAATCAATGTGCAAAAATCACATGCATTCCTATACACCAATAACAGATAAACAGAGAGCCAAATCATGAGTGAACTCCCATTCACAATTGCTTCAAAGAGAATAAAATACCTAGGAATCCAACTTACAAGGGATGTGAAGGACCTCTTCAAGGAGAATTACAAACCACTGTTCAATGAAATAAAAGAAGATACAAACAAATGGAAGAACATTCCATGCTCATGGATAGGAAGAATCAATATCGTGAAAATGGTCATACTGCCAAAGGTAATTTATAGATTCAATGCCATCCCCATCAAGCTACCAATGACTTTCTTCAAAGAACTAAAAAAAACTACTTTAAAGTTCATATGGAACCAAAAGAGAGCCCGCATTGCCAAGACAATCCTAAGCCAAAAGAACAAAGCTGGAGGCATCACGCTACCTGACTTCAAACTATACTACAAGGCTACAGTAACCAAAACAGCATGGTACTGGTACCAAAACAGAGATATAGACCAATGAAACAGAACAGAGCCCTCAGAAATAATACCACACTCCTACAACCATCTGATCTTTGACAAACCTGTCAAAAACAAGCAATGGGGAAAGGATTCCCCACTTAATAAATGGTGCTGGGAAAACTGGCTAGCCATATGTAGAAAGCTGAAACTGGATCCCTTCCTTACACCTTATACAAAAATTAACTCAAGATGGATTAAAGACTTAAACATCAGACCTAAAAGCATAAAAATCCTAGAAGAAAACCTAGGCATTACCATTCAGGACATAGGCATGGGCAAGGATTTCACGTCTAAAACACCAAAAGTAACGGCAACAAAAGCCAAAATTGACAAATGGGATCTGATTAAACTAAAGAGCTTCTGCACCGCAAAAGAAACTACCATCAGAGTGAACAGGCAACCTACAGAATGGGAGAAAATTTTTGCAATCTACCCATCTGACAAACGGCTAATATCCAGAATCTACAAAGAATGTAAACAAATTTACAAGGAAAAATCAAACAACCCCATCAAAAAATGGGCAAAGGATATGAACACTTTTCAAAAAAAAGACATTTATGCAGCCAACAGACATATGAAAAAATGCTCATCATCACTGGTCATTAGAGAAATGCAAATCAAAATCATAATGAGATACCATCTTACTCCAGTTAGAATGACAATCATTAAAAAGTCAGGAAACAACAGATGCTGGGGAGGTTGTGGAAAAATAGGAACACTTTTACACTGTTGGTGGGAGTGTAAATTAGTTCAACCATTGTGGAAGACAGTGTGGCAATTCCTCAAGGATCTAGAACTAGAAATACCATTTGCTCCAGCAATCCCATTACTGGGCATATACACAAAGGATTATAAATCATTTTATGATAAAGACACATGCACACGTATGTTTATGGTGGCATTATTCAAAATAGCAAAGACTTGGAACTGACTCAAATGTCTACCAATGATAGAATGGATTAAGAAAATGTGGCACATATACACCATGGAATACTATGCAGCCATACAAAAGGATGAGTTCACATCCTTTGCAGGGACATGGATGAAGCTGGAAATCATCGTTCTTAGCAAACTATCACAAGATCAGAAAACCAAACACTACATATTCTCACTCATAACTGGGAGATGAACAACGAGAACACATAGACACAGGGAGGGGATCACCACACACCGGGGTCCATGGTGGGTGGGAGGCTAGGGATAGGATAACATTAGGATAAATATCTAATGTAGGTGATGGGTTGACGGGTGCAGCAAACCACCATGGCACATGTATACCTAGGTAACAAAGCTGCACATTCTGCAGATGTAACCCAGAACTTAAAGTATAATTTAAAAAAAGAAAATGTGGTACATATATACCATGGAATACTACACAGCCATAAAAGAAAATGAGAACATGTCTTTTGCAGGGACGTGGATGGAGTTAGAAGCCATTATCCTCAGCAAACTAACACAGGAACAGAAAACCGAACACTGCATGTTCTCACTTATAAATGGGAGCTGAATGATGACAACACATGAATGCATGAAAGGGAACAACACACACTGGGGCCTGTCAGAAGAGGGGTGAGGGGAGGGATAGCATCAGGAAGAATCGCTAATGGATACTGGGCTTAACACCTAGGTGATGGGATGATCTGTGTGTCAAACCACTAAGGCACACATTTACCTATGTAACAAAAATGTGCCTATGTGAACATCTGGCACATGTACCCCTGAACTTAAAAGTTGAGGAAAAAAATGTTTCACTAATTTTCTAATAAATAGAAGAGCTTTGTATTTATTTTTAATTAGTATTCACTGCTAAAAAATATTACTAATTAATTTTGAGCATATATATGTTTCTGAACTTAAAATTTTACAGAATAAACCTTTTGTAATATTCTGTGTAGCATGCCATTAATTAATTCATTCATTCATTCAAACAGACTCGCTTTTGCATTTGTTTCAACTTCGTCAGTAATTCAGACCTTCATCAGCTCACACCTGGGCTCTTATTTTACTCTATTCCTAGAGCTGGAGTGATAAGATTTGACTGTAATATAATAAAGACCTACTTTCTCAAAAACTTTCTTTCCATGGCCCATATTGGTAATGGGATAAGGCCAATTCTTTAAAAATGGCATATGAGGCCCCCTGAGACACCACCACCTAATAATACCTTCAATTAACCTTTTTGTTCTCCTCCAACTAATTTGATCCCTTCCTGCAAGTAATGTCCCTTCAATTGAAGAAGTAGATAACCAGAATAGACCAATAACAAGGGAATAATTTATAAAGAGTTTCAAAAAATTTTGCCCTCTCAGCAAATGGCTGTAAGCTGGGATAATTTTAGAGGCAAGTTATTCCAAACTTTCAAAGAACAAAAAATATCTAATAATAAAGGACATGTTTCTAAGAAAAGATGGAACACTTAATCAATTTTTTAAAAAGTAGTCAAATGCTGAAATATAGTAGTCACTATAGAGACCAATTTTACCATGAATATAGATTTAAAATTTTAAAGACAAAGAAAATGCAGTACTATTTTTAAATGATCCACCTAAAAGTATATAATGGCCAAGGGGCACTTATCCTTCAAAATAAGGAAGCCAAAAAAAAGACTTCTAAGCAGGCCAACTAGTCACAGACAGGAGGAACACCTGCCACTGAGGGACACGGACATCAGAAAGACTGGCACTCGCAGCAGATCTTCATAGAGAATGCATTGAGAATGAACAGAAAGAGGACAAAGATGAAGCATTGAATGGGGAGGAACTTGGGAACCCTGCATGGGGCTACCATGAACTGGGACCCATTTCTGGCTCCCAGTGACTCCTGGGGAAAGGATGAGTTGAGCAGGAAAGCAGCAACCTGCTCTCACCACAGACTTCTGGAATCCTGGCAGCAGGAGACCTCATGACCCCCATGGACACTTAAGCTGGCAGAGAGCTTCTTAGAAAGGTGGTGGGGCAAAATTCCAGCTTGTGCAAAGCCCAGAGGGTTTGGAGCAGGAAAGTCTGCAATGAAGCACAGTCAGGGATACCCATACCCCAAGGTCTGCCATGCTCCCCTTGGAGACTTTAGCCCTAGGGGAGTTGTTGGGCCTCAATAAAGCAGGGCAACCTTGCCCTGGAGATGATGCCAGTCCAACTTGAGTGCCCTCCCATGTCTGCTGGCCTCTCCCAGGACCCCAGGGTGGCCACACCTGCTCATAGTGCAGCCTCAGATGCCCAACCAGGGTGCCTCCCAGGGGTCCACGTCATACCTCTTGCACTGGCAGACCACCCCTGACTATTGGAGGGGTCCAGCAGAGCAGTTCCAGATGACAGGCACCGGTCCACCTGCAACCTCCCTCCACCAGGGCCTCCCCAACTCTGCTTTGCTGGCCCACAGTCATCAATGGCCACTCCCTCATCACTTTGTAGGTGCACACACATGTGGGCAGATTTCACCATCCCTTCCTCAATGATGCGCAATTGCATGTGCACCCCACCATGCCACTAGCTGCTGGCATGAGCATACTCTGCCACCCTCACTGCTGGGCCACCATTGTTGGTGCAGACACACACATGGAGATCAGCAGCACCACCCCTAGCCTTGCACTGCCATTGCTGCCAGTGCAAATGCACACACAGAGACCACCAGCCCTACACCTGCCACTGCCACCATAAGAACACGCACATGAAGGCCATGAGCCCAACATCCACCAGGACCTGAACCCCTACCCAACCCTGCCACAAACACATGAATGGACACCAGTGTCCCTGTCACCCCTAACGCTGCCACTGCAGTCACTGTGAACACCCACACAGAGGCTGACATCCCTATGCCCACCAGCACACCACCCCAGCTGATAAGCATGCACCCCACTGTACCGCCACTGCTGCTGGCATGTGCAAAGGGAGCACAGATCCTGCTGCCACCACCCAATGAAGCACATTGGCTGGCACCACCCATCAAAGTGTTGTAGCCAGTGGTCTGGGAACACCTTGGCCCCTCCAGCACAGCAGGTTCCCAACTTAAGGGGCCAGAGAACAAAGACAGAAACCTAATACCACTCCCCCAGAGTTAGAACATGCAGCCCAGGAGTGCTGAGCTAAGACTTAGGCCCCTGTAATCTTCCAGAAACAAAACCAGTCAACTGCACCCACCTTATACCACAATCAAACCCCCAAAAACTTCAAAGAAGATAAAAGCATCAAAAAAAAAAAAAAAAAAACCTACACGAAGGAGACAAATTTCAAAGACTGAAGGAACTTCAGCCCAAAAAGATGAGAAAGAACCAGCACAAGGACTCTGGCAACTCAAAACCCCAGTGTCTTATTACCTCCAAATGACCGCATTCACTCCGCAGCAATGGCTCTTAACCAGGCTGAAATGGCTGAAATCACAGAAACAGAATTCAGAAAATGGATAGGAACAAAGATCATTGAGATTCAGGTGAAATTTGAAACCCAAACCAAGGATTCTAAGGAATACAATAAAATGATACAGCAGATAAAAGATGAAATGGTCATTTTAATAATGAACCAGACTGAACTGATAGAGCTGAAAAAAAGCACTTTAAGAATTTCAGAATACAATTGCAAGTATTAACAGCAGAACAGACCAAGCTGAGTAAAAAAATCTAGAGTTCAAAGACCAGTTCCCTGAAATAACTCAGTCAGACAAAAATAAAGAAAAAACAATAAAGAAGAACAAACAAAACTTCCAAGAAATATGGGATTATGTACATAAACCAAATCTATGATTCATTGGCATTCCTGAAAGAAAGGGAGAGAAATCAAGGAACTTGGAAAATTTATTTCAGTATATCATCCATGAAAATCTCCCCAACTTTGCTAGAAAGGCCAACATTCAAATTCAAGAAATGCAGAGAACCCCTGCAAAATACTACATAAAAAGACCATCCCCAAGACACATAGTCATCAGATTCTCCAAGGTCTAAATGACAGAAAAAAATGCTAAAGGTAGCTAATGAGAAAGGACAGGTCACCTACAAAGGGAACCTCATTAGGCTAACAGCAGACCTTTTAGCAGAAACCCTAGAAGCCAGAAGAGATTGGGGGCCCATATTCAGCAATTTTTTTTTTGAGATGGAGTTTCACTCTTGCGCCCAGGCTAGAGTTAAATGGTGCCATCTCGGCTCACTGCAACCTCAGCCCGCCCCCGCCCAACCCAGATTTAAGTGATTCTCCTGCCTCAGCCTCCCCAGTAGCTGACATTATAGTCACCCCATCTGGCTAAGTTGTGTATTTTTTTGGTAGAGACGGGGTTTCACCACATTGGCCAGGCTGGTCTTGAACTCCTGACCTCTGGTGATCACCTCAGGTGATCCATCCTCAGCCCATATTCAGCATTCTTAAAGAAAAGAATTTCCAACCTAGAATTTCATATCAAATCAAACTAACATTCATAAGTAAAGGAGAAATAAAATCCTTTTCAAACAAGCAAATGATAAGGGAATTCATTACCACCAGACCTGCCTTACAAGAAAGAGGTCCTGAAGGGAATGCTAAATATGGAAAGGAAAGACCATTACAAGCCACTACAAAAACACACTTAAGTACACAGACCAATGATACTATAAAGCAACCACACAAACAAGTCTGCTTAATAACCACCTGGCAACATTATAACAGGATCAAATACACACACATCAACACTAACCTTGAATGTAAACAGGCTAAATGCCCCAATGAAAAGGCATACAGTGGCAAGATGAATAAAGAATCAAGACCCAAACCCCGTCTCTACTAAAAAGACAAAAAATTAGCCGGGCGCGGTGGCGGGCGCCTGTAGTCCCAGCTACTCGGGAGGCTGAGGCAGGAGAATGGCGTGAACCCGGGAATCGGAGCTTGCAGTGAGCCGAGATTGCGCCACTGCACTCCAGCCTGGGCGACAGAGCGAGACTCCGTCTCAAAAAAAAAAAAAAAAAAAAAAAAAGAATCAAGACCCAGTGGTACGCCAAATGCAATGACACCCATCGGCTCAAAGTAAAGGTATGGAGAAAAACCCACCAAGCCAATCAAAATCAGAAAAAAAGGTGGAGATGCTATTTTAATTTAAAACAAAACAGACTTTAAACCAACAAACATCAAAAAAGACAAAGAAGGGCATTACATAATGGTAAAGGGTTCGATCCAACAAGAAGATCTAACTATCCTAAAAATATATGCACCCAACATAGGAGACCTAGATTCATAAAGCAAGTTCTTAGAGACCTATGAAGAGACTTAGATAACCACAAGATAATAGTGGGAGATTTCAACACCCCACTGACAGTATTAACAAGTCATTGAGGCAGAAAACTAACAAAGATATTCAGGAATTGAACCTGACATTTGACCAAATAGACTTAACAGACATCTACAGAACTCTCCACCATACCAACCACACTCTTGGACCACAGCACAGTAAAAATATAAATCAATACTAAGAAAATTGCTCAAAAGCCACAAAATTACATGGAAATTTAAGAACCTACTCCTGAATGACTTTTGGATAAATAATGAAATTAAGACAGAAATCAAACAATTCTATGCAACTAATGGAAACAGAGATACAATATACCAGAATCTCTGGGATACAGCTAACGCAGTGTTAAGAGGAAAGTTTATAGCACTAAATGCCCACATTAGAAACTTAGGAAGATGCCAAATTAACAACCTACCATCACTACTAGAGGAACTAGACAATCAAGAGCAAACCAACCTGAAAGATAGCAGAAAAGAAATAACCAAAATCAGAGCTGAACTGAAGGAAATTGAGATGTGAAAAGCCATACAAAAGATAAACAAATCCAGTAGTTATGTTTTTGAAAGAATTAATAAGATAGATAGACCACTAACTAGGCTAATAAATTACAAAATAAGAAGATCCAAACAGACACAATCAAAAATGACAAAGGGGTGTCATCACTGACCTCACAGAAAAACAAAAACCCTCTGAGACTACTATGAACACTATGCACACAAGCTAGAAAACATAAAGGAAATGAATAAATTCCTGGAAACATATACCCTCCCAAAATTGAAATAGGAACAAATTGACCCTGAATAGTCCAATAACAAGTTCCAAAATTGAATCAGTAATAAAAAGCCTACAAACAAGAAAAAGCCCAGAACCAGAGAGATTCAGAGCCAAATTCTACCAGATGTGTAAAGAAGAGCTGGTACCATTTCTACTGAAACCATTACAAAAATATTGAAGAGGAGAAGCCTCTTCCTAACTCATTCTATGTGGCCAGCATTATCCTGATGTCAAAACCTGTGAGAGACAAACACAAAAATGAAAACTTCAGGCCAACACCCTTGATGAACACAGATGCAAAAATCCTCAGCAAAATACTACCAAACCAAATCCAGCAGCAAGTCAAAAAGCTAATCCACCATGAGCAAGTAGGCTTTATCCCTGAGATGCAAGGTTGTTTACACACGTGCAAATCAATAAATGTGATTCATCACATAAACAGAGCTAAAAACAAAAACCAGATGATTAACTCAATAGACGCAGAAACCTTTATGTTAAAAACCCTTAAAAAACTTGAAATTGAAAGAACATGCTTAAAAATAACAAGAGCCATTGATGACAAACCTATACTCAACACCAAATTGGATGGACAGAAGCTGGTAGCATTCCCCTTAAAAACCAGAAAAAGACAAGTATGCCCTCTCTCACCACTCCTATTGACCATAGTACTGGAAGTCCTGGCCACAGTAATCAGGCAAGAAAAAAAAAGTAGGAATCCAAATAGGATGAGAAGAAGTCAAACTATCCCTATTTCCAGATGATATGATTATATACCTAGAAAACCCCCATAGTTTCTGCCCAAAATTTCATTGATCTAATAAACAACTTCAGAAAAGTTTCAGGATACAAAATCAATGTATAAAAAAGAAGTATCATTCCTCCATACCAAGAATATCCAAACTGAAAGCCAAATCAAGAATGCAATCCCATTCACAATAGCCACAGTAGGAATACAACACCTAGGAATACAGCTAACTAGGGAGGTGAAAGATCTCTACAATGAGAATTACAAAACACTGCTCAAAGGAATCAGAGATGACCACAAACAAACGAAAAAAACATTCCATGCTCATGGATAGAAAGAATCAACATTGTTAAAATGGTCATACTGCCCAAAGCAATTTACACATTCAATAATATTCCTATCAAATTACCAATGAGATTCTTCACAGAATCAGAAAAAGCCATTTTAAAATTCACATGGAACCAAAAAAGAGCCCAAAAAGCCAAGGCAATTCTAAGCAAAAGGAACAAAGCTGGAGGCATTACATTACCCATTTTGAAACTATACTACAAGGCCACAGCAACCAAAACAGCATGGTACTGGTACAAAAACAGACACATAAACAAATGGAACAGAATAAAAAGCCCAGAAATAATACCACACACCTACAACCATCTGATGTTGGACAAAGTTGACAAAAACAAGCAATGGGAAAAGGACTCCCTGTTTAATAAATGGTGCTGGGATGACTGGCTAGCCATATGCAGAAGATTGAAACCCCTACCTTACAGTATATACAAAAATCAACTCAAGATAAAAACTTAAATGCAAAATCTAAAACTATAAAACCTCTGCATGATAACCTAGTAAATATCATTCTGGACACAGGACCTAGCAAGGATTTCATGATGAAAATGCCAGAAGCAAATTGCAACAAAAACAAAGTTGACAAATGGGACCTAATTAAACTAAAGAGCTTCTGCACAGCAAAAGAAACTATCAACAGAGTAAACAGACAACCTACTGAATGGGAGAAAGTATTTGCAAACTGTGTATCTGACAAAGGTCTAATATCCAGAATCTATAAGGAACTTAAAAACAAATGAACAAACAAACAAACAAAAAAACCCACACACAATAGCATTAAAAAGTGGGCCAAGGACATGAACAGACACTTTTCAATAGAAGACATACATGCAGCCAATAAGCATATGAAAAAATGCTCAATATCACTAATCGTTAGAGAAATGCAAATCAAAACCACAATGATATACCATTTCACACCAGTCAGAATGGCTATTATTAAAATGACATTTTCTTGGTGAGGTTGCCAAGAAAAGGGAATGCTTATAGACTGCTAGTGGGGATGTAAACTAGTTAAGCCATTGTGGAAAGTAGTTTGGAGGGAGGAGCCAAGATGGCCGAATAGGAACAGCTCCGGTCTACAGCTCCCAGCGTGAGCAACGCAGAAGACGGGTGATATCTGCATTTCCATCTGAGGTACCGGGTTCATCTCACTAGGGACTGCCAGACAGTGGGCGCAGGTCAGTGGGTGCGCGCACCGTGAGCGAGCCGAAGCAGGGCGAGGCATTGCCTCACTCTGGAAGCGCAAGGGGTCAGGGAGTTCCCTTTCCTAGTCAAAGAAAGGGGTGACGGACGGCACCTGGAAAATCCGTTCGCTCCCACCTGCATACTGCACTTTTCCGACGGGCTTAAAAAACGGCACACTACGAGGTTATATCCCACACGTGGCTCGGAGGGTCCTACGCCCACGGAGTCTCCCTGATTGCTAGCACGGCAGTCTGAGATCAAACTGCAAGGCGGCAGCGAGGCTGGGGAAGGGGCGCCCACCATTGCCCAGGCTTACTTAGGTAAACAAAGCAGCAGGGAAGCTCCAACTGGGTGGAGCCTACCACAGCTCAAGGAGGCCTGCCTGCCTCTGTAGGCTCCACCTCTGGGGGCAGGGCACAGACAAACTAAAAGACAGCAGTAACCTCTGCAGACTTAAATGTCCCTATCTGACAGCTTTGAAGAGAGCAGTGGTTCTCCCAGCACGCAGCTGGAGATCTGAGAACGGGCAGACTGCCTCCTCAAATGGGTCCCTGACCCCTGATCCCCGAGCAGCCTAACTGGGAGGCACCCCCCAGCAGGGGCACACTGACACCTCACACGGCAGGGTACTCCAACAGACCTGCAGCTGAGGGTCCTGTCCGTTAGAAGGAAAACTAACAAACAGAAAGGACATTCACACCAAAAACCCATCTGTACATCACCATCATCAAAGACCAAAAGTAGATAAAACCACAAAGATGGGGAAAAAACAGAACAGAAAAACTGGAAACTCTAAAAAGCAGAGCGCCTCTCCTCCTCCAAAGGAAAGCAGTTCCTCACGAGCAACGGAACAAAGCTGGATGGAGAATGACTTTCACGAGCTGAGAGAAGAAGGCTTCAGACGATCAAATTACTCTGAGCCACAGGAGGACATTCAAACCAAAGACAAAGAAGTTGAAAACTTTGAAAAAAATTTGGAAGAATGTATAACTAGAATAACCAATACAGAGAAGTGCTTAAAGGAGCTGATGGAGCTGAAAACCAAGGCTCGAGAACTACGTGAAGAATGCAGAAGCCTCAGGAGCCAATGCAATCAACTGGAAGAAAGGGTATCAGCAATGGAAGAAGAAATGAATGAAATGAAGCGAGAAGGGAAGCTTAGAGAAAAAAAGCATAAAAAGAAAAGAGCAAACATCCAAGAAATATGGGACTATGTGAAAAGACCAAATCTACGTCCGATTGGTGTACCTGAAAGTGACAGGGAGAATGGAACCAAGTTGGAAAACACTCTGCAGGATATTATCCAGGAGAACTTCCCCAGTCTAGCAAGGTAGGCCAACGTTCAGATTCAGGAAATACAGAGAACGCCACAAAGATACTCCTTGAGAAGAGCAACTCCAAGACACATAATTGTCAGATTCACCAAAGTTGAAATGAAGGAAAAAATGTTAAGTGCAGCCAGACAGAAAGGTCGGGTTACCCTCAAAGGGAAGCCCATCAGACTAACAGTGGATCTCTCGGCAGAAACCCTATAAGCCAGAAGAGAGTGGGGGCCAATATTCAACATTCTTAAAGAAAAGAATTTTCAACCCAGAATTTCATATCCAGCCAAACTAAGCTTCATAAGTGAAGGAGAAATAAAATACTTTACAGACAAGCAAATGCTGAGAGATTTTGTCACCACCAGGCCTGCCCTAAAAGAGCTCCTGAAGGAAGCACTAAACATGGAAAGGAACAACCGGTACCAGCCGCTGCAAAATCATGCCAAAATGTAAAGACCATCGAGACTAGGAAGAAACTGCATCAACTAATGAGCGAAATAACCAGCTAACATCATAATGACAGGATCAAATTCACACATAACAATATTAACTTTAAATGTAAATGGACTAAATGCTCCAATTAAAAGACACAGACTGGCAAATTGGATAAAGAGTCAAGACCCATCAGTGTGCTGTATTCAGGAAACCCATCTCACGTGCAGAGACACACATAGGCTCAAAATAAAAGGATGGAGGAAGATCCACCAAGCAAATGAAAAACAAAAAAAGGCAGGGGTTGCAATCCTAGTCTCTGATAAAACAGACTTTAAACCAACAAAGATCAAAAGAGACAAAGAAGGCCATTACATAATGGTAAAGGGATCACTTCAACAAGAAGAGCTAACTATCCTAAATATATATGCACCCAATACAGGAGCACCCAGATTCATAAAGCAAGTCCTGAGTGACCTACAAAGAGACTTAGACTCCCACACATTAATAATGGGAGACTTTAACACCCCACGGTCAACATTAGACAGTTCAATGAGACAGAAAGTCAACAAGGATACCCAGGAATTGAACTCAGCTCTGCACCAAGCAGACCTAATAGACATCTACAGAACTCTCCACCCCAAATCAACAGAATATACATTTTTTTCAGCACCACACCATACCTATTCCAAAACTGACCACATAGTTGGAAGTAAAGCTCTCCTCAGCAAATGTAAAAGAACAGAAATTATAACAAACTATCTCTCAGACCACAGTGCAATCAAACTAGAACTCAGGATTAAGAATCTCACTCAAAACCGCTCAACTACATGGAAACTGAACAACCTGCTCCTGAACGACTACTGGGTACATAACGAAATGAAGGCAGAAATAAAGATGTTCTTTGAAACCAACGGGAACAAAGACACAACATACCAGAATCTCTGGGACGCATTCAAAGCAGTGTGTAGAGGGAAATTTATAGCACTAAATGCCCACAAGAGAAAGCAGGAAAGATTCAAAATTGACACCCTAACATCACAATTAAAAGAACTAGAAAAGCAAGAGCAAACACATTCAAAAGCTAGCAGAAGGCAAGAAATAACTAATATCAGAGCAGAACTGAAGGAAATAGAGACACAAAAAACCATTCAAAAAATTAATGAATCCAGGAGCTGGTTTTTTGAAAGGATCAACAAAATTGATAGACTACTAGCAAGACTAATAAAGAAAAAAAGAGAGAAGAATCAAATAGATGCAATAAAAAATGATAAAGGGGATATCACCACTGATCCCACAGAAATACAAACTACCATCAGAGAATACTACAAATACCTCTACAGAAATAAACTAGAAAATCTAGAAGAAATGGATAAATGCCTCGACACATACACTCTCCCAAGACTAAACCAGGAAGAAGTTGAATCTCTGAATAGACCAATAACAGGAGCTGAAATTGTGGCAATAATCAATAGCTTACCAACCAAAAAGAGTCCAGGATCAGATGGATTCACAGCCGAATTCTACCAGAGGTACAAGGAGGAACTGGTACCATTCCTTCTGAAACTATTCCAATCAATAGAAAAAGAGGGAATCCTCCCTAACTCATTTTATGAGGCCAGCATCATTCTGATACCAAAGCCGGGCAGAGACACAATCAAAAAAGAGAATTTTAGACCAATATCCTTGATGAACATTGATGCAAAAATCCTCAATAAAATACTGGCAAAACGAATCCAGCAGCACATCAAAAAGCTTATCCATCATGATCAAGTGGGCTTCATCCCTGGGATGCAAGGCTGGTTCAATATACGCAAATCAATAAATGTAATCCAGCATATAAACAGAGCCAAAGACAAAAACCACATGATTATCTCAATAGATGCAGAAAAGGCCTTTGACAAAATTCAACAGCCCTTCTTGCTAAAAACTCTCAATAAATTAGGTATTGATGGGACGTATTTCAAAATAATAAGAGCTATCTATGACAAACCCACAGCCAATATCATACTGAATGGGCAAAAACTGGAAGCATTCCCTTTGAAAACTGGCACAAGACAGGGATGCCCTTTCTCACCACTCCTATTCAACATAGTGTTGGAAGTTCTGGCCAGGGCAATCAGGCAGGAGAAGGAAATAAAGGGTATTCAATTAGGAAAAGAGGAAGTCAAATTGTCCTTCTTTGCAGACGACATGATTGTATATCTAGAAAACCCCATTGTCTCAGCCCAAAATCTCCTTAAGCTGATAAGCAACTTCAGCAAAGTCTCAGGATACAAAATCAATGTACAAAAATCACAAGCATTCTTATACACCAACAACAGACAAACAGAGAGCCAAATCATGAGTGAACTCCCATTCACAATTGCTTCAAGGAGAATAAAATACGTAGGAATCCAACTTACAAGGGAAGTGAAAGACCTCTTCAAGGAGAACTACAAACCACTGCTCAATGAAATAAAAGAGGATACAAACAAATGGAAGAACATTCCATGCTCATGGGTAGGAAGAATCAATATCGTGAAAATGGCCATACTTCCCAAGGTAATTTATAGATTCAATGCCATCCCCATCAAGCTACCAATGACTTTCTTCACAGAATTGGAAAAAACTACTTTAAAGTTCATATGGAACCAAAAAAGAGCCCGCATCACCAAGTCAATCCTAAGCCAAAAGAACAAAGCTGGAGGCATCACTCTACCTGACTTCAAACTATACTACAAGGCTACAGTAACCAAAACAGCATGGTACTGGTACCAAAACAGAGATATAGATCAATGGAACAGAACAGAGCCCTCAGAAATAACGCCGCATATCTACAACTATCTCATCTTTGACAAACCTGAGAAAAACAAGCAATGGGGAAAGGATTCCCTATTTAATAAATGGTGCTGGGAAAACTGGCTGGCCATATGTAGAAAGCTGAAACTGGATCCCTTCCTTACACCTTATACAAAAATCAATTCAAGATGGATTAAAGACTTAAACATTAGACCTAAAACCATAAAAACCGTAGAAGAAAACCTAGGCATTACCATTCAGGACATAGGCATGGGCAAGGACTTCATGTCTAAAACACCAGAAGCAATGGCAACAAAAGTCAAAATTGACAAATGGGATCTAATTAAACTAAAGAGCTTCTGCACAGCAAAAGAAACTACCATCAGAGTGAACAGGCAACCTACAAAATGGGAGAAAATTTTCGCAGCCTACTCATCTGACAAAGGGCTAATATCCAGAATCTACAATGAACTCAAACAAATTTACAAGAAAAAAACAAACAACCCCATTAAAAAGTAGGCGAAGGACATGAACAGACACTTCTCAAAAGAAGACATTTATGTAGCCAAAAAACACATGAAAAAATGTTCATCATCACCGGCCATCAGAGAAATGCAAATCAAAACCACAATGAGATACCATCTCACACCAGTTAGAATGGCAATCATTAAAAAGTCAGGAAACAACAGGTGCTGGAGAGGATATGGAGAAATAGGAACACTTTTACACTGTTGGTGGAACTGTAAACTAGTTCAACCATTGTGGAAGTCAGTGTGGCGATTCCTCAGGGATCTAGAACTAGAAATACCATTTGACCCAGCCATCCCATTACTGGGTATATACCCAAAGGACTATAAATCATGCTGCTATAAAGACACAGGCACACGTATGTTTACTGCGGCATTATTCACAATAGCAAAGACTTGGAACCAACCCAAATGTCCAACAATGATAGACTGGATTAAGAAAATGTGGCACATATACACCATGGAATACTATGCAGCCATAAAAAATGATGAGTTCTTGTCCTTTGTAGGGACATGGATGAAATTGGAAATCATCATTCTCAGTAAACTATCATGAGAACAAAAAACCAAACACCGCATATTCTCACTCATAGGTGGGAATTGAACAATGAGATCACATGGACACAGGAAGGGGAACATCACACTGGGGACTGCTGTGGGATGTGGGGAGGGGAGAGGGATAGCATTGGGAGATATACCTAATGCTAGATGACGAGTTAGTGGGTGCAGTGCACCAGCGTGGCACATGTATACATACGTAACTAACCTGTACAATGTGCACATGTACCCTAAAACTTAAAGTATAATAATAAAAAATAAAAAAAAGAAAGTAGTTTGATGATTTCTCAAAGAACTCAAAGCAGAATTACCATTCAACCCAGCAATCACATTATTGGGTATATACCCAAAGAAATATAAATCATTGTACCATAAAGACACATGCATGTGTATGTTCACTGAAGCAATTTTCACAATAGTAAAGACATGGAATCAATCTAAATGCCCATCAATGACAGATTGAGTAAAGAAAACGTGGTACATATACAGCATGGAACACTATGCAGCCATAAAAATGAACAAGATCATGTCCTTTGCAGTGGCATGAATAAAACTGGAGGATATTATCCTAAGCAAACTAATGCAGGAACAGAAAACCAAATACTGCATGTTCTCACTTATAAGTAGGAGCTAGATATTGAGAACACATGGACACAAATAAGGGAACAATAGACATGGGGTTCTACTTGAGAGTGGAGAGAGGGAGGCTAAGGAACAAAAAACTACGTATTGGTTACTGTGCTTATCACCTTGGTGATGAAATAATTTGTAAACCAAACCCCTGTGACACAAATTTACCTATATCATAAATGTGCATATGTACCTCTGAACCTAAAATAAAAGTTAAAAAAAGAAACAACCAACATATGCATATGTTGTGAGTTCCAGAAGGAAGAGAAAAAGAAAGGAGCAGAAATAACACTTTTAAAATGGATGGTTGAAAACTTCCCAAATTTGATGAAAGAAATGAATGTATTAATCCAAGAAGTTCAAGGACTCCAATCAGGATGAACTCAAAGAGTTTCACATAGAGACACATTATGATCAATCTGTCAACAACCAAAGACAAAGAAAATCTTGGGGGATGGTGTGGGAGAGAATATTGAAAGCACCAAGAGAGATGTGACTCATCATATACAAAGGATCTTCAATAAGACTAATGCAATTTCTCATTAGAAATCACAGAGATCAGAAGGCAGTAGATAACATATTTAAAGTGCTTTAAAAAAAAATCAAGCAAGAATTCTATACCTGGCAAACTAGCCTTCAAAAATGAAGGAGAAATCAAAGCATTTCCGAGTAAATGAAACCTGAAGAAGTCCATTGCTAGTAAACCTATTTTACAAAAAAGGCTGAAAGGAGTCCCTAAGGCTGACATGAAAGACACTAGATGGAAACTTGAAACCATACAACAAGGTAAAGAACACCAACAAAAGTACTGAATAGGTAAATTTAAAAGCCAGTAGCACAGTACTTTTGGTTTCTAATTACTCTTTTTGTTCTATGTGACATAAAAGACAAATGCATAAAACACTAATAAGTCTATGTCACTGGGCATACAATGTATAAGGATGTAATTTGTGATAGGGTGCAGTGGCTCATGTCTGTAATCCCAGCACTTCAGGATCACAAAGTTGGGGGATTGCTTGAGGCGAAGCGTTTGAAACTAACCTGGGTTACAAATTTTTTTTTTAATTTAAATTTTGTGCCTCTCTACAAAAAAAAAAAAAAAAAAAATTAGGTGTGGTGGTGTGCACCTATAGTCCTAGCTACCTGGGAGTCTGAGGTGGGAGGATCACTTGAGCCTAGGAGTTCAAGACTGTAGTAAGCTGTGATTGCACCACTATATTCCAGCCTGGGGCACAGAGTGAGATCCTGTCTCTAAAAAAAATTTTTTTAATATTTATAAAGATGTAATTTGCAACAATAACAACATCAAGTTGGGGACAAACTTATACAGGCACAAAATTTTTATAGACTATTGAAACTAAGTTGATATTAATTCAAACTACATTATTATAAATTAACATCATTATTCAAAGGTAATCACAAAGACAATAACTAAAAATTATACAGTAAAAGAAATGAGAAGGAAATCAAAATGGTAGAAAAAAATCAATTAAAAAGTAAAGCAATTATGGAGAAATTGAAAAACAAAAAATATACAATATAAAAAATATAAATACAGTATACAATATAATACACAAAATATACAAAATACAATATAAAATATACATATGAAAAACAAATAGCAAAATGGCAGAGTTATCTCTCCTTAACATTAATTGCATTAAATGTAAATAGGTTAAATTGTCTAATCTAAAGGAAGATATTGGGAAAATAATTTTTACAAACTATAATATAGCTACATGATATCTAGGAAAAAAACTCAATTCAGATCAAAGATACAAATCGGTTGAAAGTGAAAGGATGGGAAAAGGTATTCCACACAAATATTAGCCAAAAGAGAGTGGGAGTAGCTTTGCTAATATCAGACCAAATAGATTTTAAGGCAATAATTAATACAAGGGACAAAGAAGACCATTACATATTGATGAAAGAGTCAATCAATCAGTAAGATATGACCATTATAAACACAGTCAAAAACAGAGCCCCAAAATATATGCAGCAAAGACTAACAGAATTGGAGGGAGAAATAAACAATTCTATAATAATAGTTGGAGACTTCAATACCTCACTTTCAATTATGAATAGAACAACTAGACAGAAGTTCAACAATGAAACAGAGGACTTGAACAGTAGTATAAACTAACTAGACCTAACAAACATATATAGAACACTTCATCTAACAACAGCTGAGTACAAATTCTTCTCAGGCAAACTTGGAACATTCTTAGGACAGACCATATGTTAGGCCATAACACAAGTCCCAGTAAATTTTAAAGATGGATCATACAAAGTATATTTTCTAACTACAATGGATAAAACTAGAAAACAATAACAGAAGAAAATTTGGGAAATTCACAAGTACGTGGAAATTAAATGGCAGATAGGTCAAAGGGAAAATTACAAAGGAAATTAAAAAATACTTTGAGACAAATGAAAGGTAATACAACATACCAAAACTTAGGAGATGCAGCAAAGCAATGAGAAATGTATAGCTATAAATGCATACATTAAATAAGAAGAAAGATCTCAAGCCAGTAACGTTACTTTCTGCCTTAATAAGCCAAGAAAAATAAAAGAAAACTAAACCTAAAGCAAGCAGAAGGAAGGAAATAATAAAGATTAGAGCAAAGATAAATGAAATAGAGAATATGAAAACAATAGAATCAACAAAGCCAAATGTTGGTGTTTTTAAATATCAACAAAATTGACAATTCCTTAGCTAGACCGACTAAGAAGAAAAGATGACTCAAATTACGAAAATAAGAAATGAAAGTGTGAACATTGCTACTACCCTTGAAGAAATAAAAAGTAGTATTATGTAAAAGAATACTATGAACAATTGCATGCTAACAAATTGGAAGAACTTAGAAGAAATGACGAAATTCCTAGAAATACCCAAACTTCCAAAACCAACTCAAGAAGAAATAGAAAGCCTGAATAGATCATATCAAGCGAAGAAATTGAATTAGTCATCAAAAAACATAGAAAAGCCAAGGACCAGAACATGTCAACAGTAAATTCTACCAAGTGTCTGAAAAATTAACACCAAGCGTTCTCAAAATCTCCCTACAAATAAAGAAGAAAATACTTCCTCATTCACTTTATTAAAGCAGCATTACCCTGTTATTAAAGCCAGACAAAGACAGCACAAACACACACCAATGTCCCTTACCAATATAGATGCAAAAATCATCAATAAAATATGAGCAAATTGAATGCAACAGTATATTAAAAGAAAGATACAGGGCCGGGTGCAGTGGCTCACGTCTGTAATCCCAGCACTTTGGGAGGCTGAGGCAGGCGGATCATGAAGTCGGGAGATTGAGACCATCCTGGCTTACATGGTGAAACCCCGTCTCTACTAAAAATACAAAAAAAAAATTAGGCGGGTGTGGTGGTGGGCATCTGTAGTCCCAGCTACTCCGGAGGCTGAGGCAGGAGAATGGCGTGAACCCGGGAGGTGGAGCTTGCAGTGAGCCCAGATGGCACCACTGCACTCCAGCCTGCCTGGGGAACAGAGCCAGACTCCGTCTCAAAAAAAAAAAAAAAAGAAAAGAAAAGAAAAGAAAAAGAAAAAGAAAGATACACTACGATCAAGCGGGATTAATCCTAGTAACACAAGGTTGGTTCAACACGTGTAAATAAATCAATGTAATATACCACATAAATTGAATGAAAACAAAAGCAAAAATACACAAGTGGCATTACATCAAACTGAAAAGCTTCTGCACAGCAAAGGAAACAATTAAAGTGAAGAAGCAACCTTCAGAATGGGAGAAAACAACCCAATTAAAAAATGGGCAAAAGACCTGAGTACATATTTCTCAAAAGAAGACATATAAATGACCAACAGGTATATGAAAAAATGCTCAACATCATTAGGGAAATGAAAAATTAAAACCACAATGAGCTATCACTTCACACTATTACCAAAAGATGAAAGATAACAAATTTGGCGAGGATTTTGAGAAAAGGGAACTCTTGTACACTGTTGGTGGGATTTTAAGTTAATACAGCCATTATGAAAAACAGTATGGTGGTGCCTTAAAAACTAAAAATAGAGTCACCATATGGTCCAGCAATCCACTTCTGGGTATATATCCAAAGTATTTGAAATCAGTATGTCAAAGAGACATCTGTACTCCACATTTCTTAGAGCATTATTTACAATAGCCAAGATAAGAAATCAAGCTAAGTGTCTATCAACAGATGAATAAGCAAAGAAAATGTGTCTTATATACACAATTAAATACTATTCAGCCTTTTCTTAAAAAAAAAGGGAAATCCCACCACTTACAACAATACGAATTAACTTGGAAGACATTATGTTAAGCAAAATAAGCCAGGCGGAGAAAAATACCAAATGTTCTCGTTTATATGTGGAATCTAAAACAAATATATAGAGGCAGCGAGTAGAACAATACTGGTTATTAGAGGTTGGGTGTTATGAAAAATGGGGAATTGTTGGTCAAAGAGTACAATGTTTCAGTTAGACAGGAGGAAAAAATGGTAAGTATTTGAGGTGACGGATATGTTAATAAGCTCAATTCAATCATCACAGATTGTATACATGTATCATAACATCACTTTGTATCCCATAAATATGAAGTGAAGAAACTAGAGCCACATGCAACAGCACATAATACTCAGAGAAAGAAGCTAGACATAAAAGAATACTATCATATAATTCAATTTATATAAAGTTCAAAAAATAGGCAAAATTAAACTAAGAATGTTTACGAACACATACTTATTTGAGGCAACTATAAAGAACTATAAGGAAGTGATTAAAATAGACAGTGGTTGTCTTCCCCCAGGAAAGACAAAGGCATGAGGGGGTTTCTAGATTGTTGGAAATGACCTGATGATGGTTACATGGGTATTGACACTATGATAAGTCATTATGCTGTACATTTCCATTTTGTACACTTTTCTGGATATAAGCTTTATTTTACCTTAAAAATGATTTAGGGAGATCAGCCAAGATGGCCGCATAGGAAGAGTTCTGGTCTGCAGCTCCCAGCAAGACCCACGCAAAAGGTGGGTGATTTCTGCATTTCCCACTGAGGTACCAGTTCATCTTATCGGGACTGGTTAGGCAGTGGGTGCAGCCAACAGAAGGCAAGCAGAAGCAGGGTGGGGTGTTGCCTCACCTGGGAAGTGCAAGGAGCCAGGGACCTCCCTCCCCAACCAAGGGAAGCCATGAGGGACTATGCTACCCAGCCTAGATACTACACTTTTCCCATGGTTATTGCAATCTGCAGATCAGGAGACTCCCTGTGTGCCTACACCACAAGGACCCTGGGTTTCAAGCACAAAACTGGGTGGCTGTTTGGGCAGACACCGAGCTAGCTGCAGGAGTTCTTTTTAGTACCCCAGTGGCACCTGGAACTCCAGTGAGACAGAACCACTTACTCCCCTGGAAAGGGGGCTGAAGCCAGGGAGCCAAGTTGTCTCACTCAGTGGGTCCCACTCCCATGGAGCCCAGCAAGCTAAGAACCACTGGCTTGAAATTCTCGCTGCCAGGGCAACAGTCTGAAGTCGACCTGGGATGATCTAACTTGGTGCAGGGAGGGGCATCCATCATTACAGAGGCTTGAGTAGGTGGTTTTCCCCTGATAGTGCTAAGGAGGCCAGGGAGGTTTGGACTGGGGGGAATTCACCACAGTGCGGCAAAGCGGCTGTGGCCAGACTGCCTCTCTAGATTCCTCCTCACTGGGCAGGGTGTCTCTGAAAGAAAGGCAGCAGTCCCAGTTAGGGGCTTATAGATAAAACTCCCATCTCCCTGGGACAGAGCACCTGAGGAAAGGGGCAGCTGTGGGTGCAGCTTCAGTGGACTTAAACGTTCCTGCCTGCTGGCTCTGAAGAGAGCAGCTGATCCTGACAAGGAAGATTCTAACAGCACAGCACTTGAGCTCTGCTAAGGGACAGACTGCCTCCTCAAGTGGGTCCCTGACCCCTGTGCCTCCTTTCTGGGAGAGACCTCCCAACAGGGGTCGACAGACACCTCATACAGGAGAGCTCTGGCTGGAATCAGGCCAGTGCCCCTCTGGGACAAAGGTTCCTGAGGAAGGAGCAGGAAGCAAACTGCTTTTCTGCAGCCTCCACTGGTGATACCCAGGCAAACAGGTTCTGAAGTGAACCTCCAGCAAACTGCAGCAGACCTACAGAACAGGGGCCTGACTCTTAGAAGAAAAGCTAACAAACAGAAAGCAACAACATCAACATCAACAAAAAGGACACCCACACAAAAACCCCATCCAAAGGTCATCAGCCTCAGAGATCAAAGATAGATAAATCCACGAACATGAGGAAGAACCAGTGCAAAAAAGCTGAAAATTCCAAAAACCAGAATGCCTCTTCTCCAAATGATTGCAACTCCTCTCCAGTGAGGGCACAAAACTGGATAGAGAATGAGATTGACGAATTGACAGAAGTTGGCTTCGGAAGGTGGGTAATAACAAGCTCCTCTGAGCTGAAGGAGCATATTCTAACCCAATGCAAGGAAGCTAAACACCTTGATAACAGGTTAACAGGAACTGCTAACTAGAATAACCAATTTCGAGAAGAAGATAAATGACCTGATGGAGCTGAAAAACAAGGACAAGAACTTCGTGAAGCATACACAAGTATCAATAGCCAAATCAATCAAGTAGAAAAAAGGATATCAGACATTGAAGATAAACTTACTGAAGTAAGATGTGAAGACAAGATTAGACAAGAAAGAATGAAAAGGAATGAACAAAGCCCCCAAGAAATATGGGACTATGTGAAAAGACCAAACCTACGATTGATTGGTATACCTGGAAGTAACAGGGAGAATGGAACCAAGTTGGAAAACACACTTCAGGATGTTATCCGGGAGAACCGCAATCTAGCGAAACAGGCCAACATTCAAATTCGGGAAACACAGAGAACACCACTAAAATACTCATCGAGAAGTGCAATCCCAAGAAACATAATCGTCAAATTCTCCAAAGCTGAAACAAAGGAAAAAATGTTAAGGGCAGCCAAAGAGAAAGGTCAAGTTACCCACAAAGGGAAGCCCATCAGACTAACAGTGGATTTCTCTGCAGAAACCCTACAAGCCAGAAGAGAGTGGGGTGGCAATATTCAACATTCTTAAAGAAAAGAACTTTCTTTTTTTTCTTTTTTTCTTTTTTTTTTTTTGAGATGGAGTCTGGCTATTTCGCCCAGGCTGTAGTACAGTGGTGCGATCTCGGCTCATTGCAACCTCCGCCTCCCAGGTACAAGCGATTCTCCTGCCTCAGCCTCCTGAGTACCTGGGACTATAGGCATATGCCACCACGCCTGGCTAATTTTTAGTAGAGACAGAGTTTTGCCATGTTAGCCAGGATGGTCTCAATCTCCTGATCTCATGATCTGCCCACCTTGGCCTCCCAAAGTGCTGGGATTACAGGCGTGAGCCACCACACCCAGCAGAAAAGAATTTGCAACCCAGAATTTCATATCCAACCAAACTAAGCTTCATAAGTGAAGGAGAAATAGAATCCTTTCCAGACAAGCAAATGATGATGGATTTTGTCACCACCAGGCCTGCCTTACAAGAGCTCCTGAAGGAAGCACTAAACATGGAAAGGAAAAACCGGTACCAGCCACTGCAAAAACACACCAAAATATAAAGACCAATGACACTATGAAGAAACTGCACCAACTAATGTATAAAATAACCAGCTAGCATCATGATGACAGGATAAAATTCACACAACACAATATTAACCTTAAATGTAAATGGACTAAATGCCCAAATTAAAAGATACAGACATGCAAATTGGATAAAGAGTCAAGACCCATCGGTGTGCTACATTCAGGAGACCCATCTCTCTTGCAAAGATACACATAGGCTCAAAATAAAGGGATGGAGGAAGAACTACCAAGCAAATGGAAAGCAAAAAAAAGCAGGGGTTACAATCTTAGTCTCTGATAAAACAGACTTTAAATAAACAAAGATCAAAAAAGACAAAGAAGGCCGTTACATAATGGTAAAGTGATCACTTCAACAAGAAGAGCTAACTATCCTAAATATATATGCACCCAATACAATACAGGAGAACCCAGATTCACAAAGCAAGTTCTTAGAGACCTACAAAGTGACTTAGACTCCCACACAATAATAATGGGAGACTTTATCATTCCATTGTCAATATTGGACATATCAACAAGACAAAAAATTGACAAGGATATTCAGGACTTGAACTCAGCTCTGGGCCAAGTGGACCTAAGAGACACCTACAGAACTCTCCACACCAAATCAACAGAATATACATTCTTCTCAGCACCACATCACACTTATTCTAAAACGGACCACATAATTGGAAGTAAAACACTCCTCAGCAAATGCAAAAGAATGGAAATCATAACAAACAGTATCTCAGGCCACAGTGCAATCAAATTAGAACTCAGGATTAAGAAACTCAGTTAAAACCGCATAATTACATGGAAACTGAACAACCAGCTCCTGAATGACTACTGGGTAAATAATGAAATTAAGACAGAAATAAATAAGTTCTTTGAAAGCAATAAGAACAAAGACGCAACATACCAGAATCTCTGGGACACAGCTAAAGTTAAGAGGGAAATTTATAGCACTAAATGCCCACAAGAGAAAGCAGGAACAATCTAAAATCGACACCCTAATATCACAATTAAAAGAACTGGAGAAGCAAGAGCAAACAAATTCAAAAGCTAGCAGAAGAGAAGAAATAAAAAAGATCAGAGCAGAACTGAAGGAGGTAGAGACATGAAAAACCCTTCAAATAATCAATGAATCCAGGAGTTGGTTTTTTATTTTTTAAGATTAACAAATAGATGGATCTCTAGCTAGATTAATAAAGAAGAAGGCCAGGCGCAGTGGCTCATGCCTGTAATCCCAGCATTTTGGAAGGCCAAGGTGGGTGGATCACGAGGTCAGGAGATCGAGATCATCCTGACTAACACGGTGAAACCCCATCTCTACTAAAAATACAAAAAATAAAAATAAAAAATTAGCCGGGCATGGTGGCAGACACCTGTAGTCCCAGCTACTCAGGAGGCTGAGGCAGGAGAATGGCATGAACCTGGGAGGCGGAGCTTGCAGTGAACCAAGATCGAGCCACTGCACTCCAGCCTGGGTGACAGAGCAAGATTCCATCTCAAGAAAAAGTAATTAATTAATTAATTAATTAAAATAAAGAAGAAAAGAGAAGAATCAAATAGACACAATAAAAAATGATAAAGGGGATATGACCACTGATCCCACAGAAATACAAACTACCATCAGAGAACACTACAAACACCTCCACACAAACTAGAAAATCTAGAAGAAATGGATAAATTCCTGGACACATACCCCCTCCCAAGACTAAACCAGGAAGAAATCGAATCCCTGAATAGACCAATAACAAGTTCTGAAATTCAGGCAGTAATTAATAGCCTGCCAACCAAAAAAAGTCAAGGACCAGGCAGATTCACAGACGAATTCTACCAGAGGTACAAAGAGAAGCTAGTACCATTCCTTCTGAAACTGTTCCAAACAATAGAAAAAGAGGGACTCCTCTGTAACTCATTTTATGAGGACAGTATCATGCTGATACCAAAACCTGGTAGAGACACAACAAAAAAAAAGAAAATTTCAGGTCAATATCGCTGATGAACATCGATGTGAAAATCCTCAATAAAATACTGGCAAACCAAATCCAACAGCACATCAGAAAGCTTATCCACCATGACTGAGTCGGCTTTATCCCTGGGATGCAAGGCTGGTTCAACATACGCAAACAAATTAATGTAATCCATCACATAAATAGAACCAATAACAAAAATCACATGATTATCTCAATAGATGCAGAAAAAGCCTTCAATAAAATTCAACACCCTTTCATGCTAGAAACTCTCAATAAACTAGGCATTGAAGGAATGTATTCAAAATAATAAGAACTATTTATGACAAACCCATAATATATATCACACAGAATGGCCAAATGCTGGAAGCATTCCCTTTGAAAACTGGCACAAGACAAGGATGCCTCTCTCACCACTCCTATTCAACATAGTATTGGAAGTTCTGGCCAGTGAAATCAGGCAAGAGAAAGGAATAAAGCATATTCATATAGGAAGAGAAGAAGTCAAATTATCTCTGTTTGCAGACGACATGATTGTATATTTAGAAAACGCCATCATCTCAGCCCCAAATCTCCTTAAGCTGATAAGCAACTTCAGCAGTCTTAGGATACAAAATCAATGTGCAAAAATCACAAGCATTCCTATACACCAATAATAGACGAACAGAGAGCCAAATCATGAGTGAACTCCCATTCACAATTGCTACAAAGAGAATAAAATATCTAAGAATACAACTTACAAGGGACATGAAGGACCTCTTCAAGGAGTACAAACCACTGCTCAAGGAAATAAGAGAGGAGACAAACAAATGGCAAAACATTCCATGCTCACGGATAGGAAGAATCATTATCATGAAAATGGCCATACTGCCCAAAGTAATTTGTAGATTCAATGTTATTCCCATCAAGCTACCACTGACTTTCTTCACAGAATTAGAAACAACTATTTTAAAGTTCATATGGAACCACAAAATACCCCATATAGCCAAGACAATCCTAAGCAAAAAGAACAAAGCTGGAAGCATCACACTACCTGACTTCACACTATACTACAAGGCTACAGTAACCAAAACAGCATGGTTCTGGTATCAAAACAGATACAGAGACCAATGGAACAGAACAGAGACCTCAGAAATAACACCACACATATATACATAAAAAGCAACAGGGAAAGGATTCCCTATTTAATAAATGGTGCTGGGGAAACTGGCTAGCCATATGCAGAAAACAGAAACTGGACCCCTTCCTTACACCTTATACAAAAATTAACTCAAGATGGAATAAATATTTAAACATAAAACCTAAAACCATAAAAACCCTAGAAGAAAACTTAGGCAATGCCATTCAGCACATAGGCATGGGCAAAGACTTCATGTCTAAAACACCAAAAGCAATGGCAACAAAAGCCAAAATAGATAAATGGGATCTAATTAAACTAAAGAGCTTCTGTGCAGCAAATGAAACTATCATCAGAATGAACAGGCAACCTGCAGAATGGAAGAAAATTTTTGCAATCTATTCATCTGACAAAGGTCTAATATCCAGAATCTACAAGGAACTTAAACCAATTTACAAGAAAAAAAAACATCAAAAAGTGGGCAAAGAATGTGAACATACACTTCTCAAAAGAAGACATTTATGAAGCCAACAAACATATGAAAAAAAGATCATCAATGCAAATCAAAACCACAATGAGATATCATCTCATGCCAGTTAGAATGCTGATAAAAAGTCAGGTAACAACAGATGCTGGAAAGGGTGTGGAGAAGTAGGAACGCTTTTACACTGTTGGTGGGAGTGTAAATTAGTTCAACCATTGTGGAAGATAGTGTGGCAATTCCTCAAGGATCTAGAACCAGAAATAGAATTTGATACAGCAATCCCATTACAGGGTATATACCCAAAGGATTATAAATCATTCTACTATAATGACACATGCACACATATGTTTACTGCAGCAATATTTACAATAGCAAAGACTTGGAACCAACCCAAATGCCCATCAATTATAGACTTACAAAGAAAATGTGGCACATATACACCATGGAATACTATGCAGCCATAAAAAAGAAGGAGTCCAGTCCGGGCATGGTGGCTCATGCCTGTAATCCCAGCACTTTGGGAGACCAAGATGGGTGGATCACCTAAGGTCAGAAGTCTGAGACCAGCCTGGCCAACATGGTAAAACCCTGTCTCTACTAAAAATACAACAATTAGCCAGGTGTGGTGGCAGATGCCTGTAATCCCAACTACTCGGAAGGCTGAGGCAGGAAAATCACTTGAACCCAGCAGGCAGAGGTTGCAGTGAGCCAAGACTTTGCCATCGCACTCCAGTCTGGGTGACAAGAGCGAAATTCTGTCTCAAAAAAAAAAAAGAAAGAAAGAAAAAGATAAGAATGAGTTCATGTCCTTTGCACATGGATGAAGCTGGAAACCATCATTCTCAGCAAATTAATACAGGAACAGAAAACCAAACACCGGATGTTCTCACTTATAAGTGGGAATTGAACTATGAGAACACATGGACACAGGGAGGGGAACATCACACACCAGGGCCTGTCAGGGGTCAGGGGCAAGGGGAGGGAGAGCATCAGGACAAATTCCTAATGCATGCAGGCCTTAAAACCTAGATGACAGGTTGATGGGTACAGCAAACCACCATGTCACATGTGTATCTAACAAACCTGCACGTTCTGCACATGTATCCCAGAACTTAAACTAAAATAAAATAATATTTTAAAAAATGATTTAAAATTAAAAACTGCAACTGAAAAGATCAGTAGACGTGATTATATACATATTTTAAACCACTTCAAAACAAAATTTAGATTAAAAGAAAAGCAACAAAATGAAAACTATGCTATGTACAAATGAAAACGGTACAATGCACGAAGTTTAATATACAATACAATAGGATAATGAAAACTATGCTATGTACAAATGAAAACTGTACAATGCACGAAGTTTAATATACAATACAATAAAATAGTACATCCCTTGAAGCCAGGAGTTCAAAAACAACCTAGGCAACAAAGCGAGATCCCATTTCCACAAAAAAAAAAAAAAAAATTGAAAAATTAACTGGCTGTGGAAGCACAGCCTTGTAGTCTTAGCTACTTGTGAGGAAGAGGTGGGAGGATCGCATGAGCCCAGGAGATTCAGGCTGCAGTGAGCCATGACTGCGTCACTGCACCGTAGACAGGGTGATAGTGTGAGACTCCATCTCTATAAATAAGTAAACAAAAGATAACTGCAAGAAACTGTATGAATAGTTTTCTGTGCTCAAAGTACAAAGGATATGAAGAAGAGATGCAAGGTGGTAGGCAATGCTTTAGAAATTGATAATGTAACTAGTATTTAGGAAATGCAAATGAAACAATTTTAAATTGTCATTTATGCCCATTAAATTACCGACACCATTAGGGTGTAAGCAAGGATTTTTCATTTACTGGTGGCACTGAAAATTGATTCATTGTTTTTAAAGAGCTGTCTGATGTATTTCAAGCAATTTTCTGTTCTGAAAATGTATTTCAAATAATAGTAATAATTTTAAAACGACATCTAAAATCATTCTTACCTTGCTTGAGAATTTTGGTGATCTATATTTAACAAGGCTGTAAAATCCTCTATGGCTGCAAACCAGTTTTCATTTTCACAATAAAACAGCCCACGTTTCAATAATGCATCTGTTCTTTTGGGATCATAAAAAATACACTATAGGGACAGCGGGAGGTACATAAACATCACAAAATGAAAAAAAATGAAGTATATAATCACATAAGTGATCTAAAACTATGTTTTTAACTTCGGGTTAATAAAAGCAAACCATCTGAAGATGTCAAAATTTTCAGAGTTGTAGCTAAAGAATATTTCTTTAGGAGATTTTTTCCATCATCAAATTCTAGAGAGGGAGTATTTTTTAAGAGAAAAAAAAAACCGGCATATACAGGAAGCCCAGGCTTCTGCCCACTGAAAATTTGCTGATAAAAATTCATAAGTGAATTGTTCAACTAGAGTGGAGTTCATTGGATCTATCTCAGCATTTTATCCTAAAGACATAACATATTAGACTACATCAAGGCTGATTCAATCACATAAAATATATATTAATCTAGCCATTAAAATGGGGAAGAGAATTGAATTATTATTGGCATGGCTCATTCATTTTACATTGACATACAAAGTAATAAACAGACTAAATCATATATCAATTATAAAGCTCTTCACCTATTGTTAGTAGAAAAGAACTGAAACACAAAGGAGATGACCAAATATTTTTAAAATAAAAAAAAAAATCCTAAAGATTTCAAAATTTGACCTCAATGTACTGCATTACTCTATTTCTAAACTATTGGTGCAGGATAGGGGAAATGAAGAGAATAGATAATCTAACAATTTCAGCATCTTCAAAAGAGCTTTTTGGTCATTTCTAGACCAGAAGTTAACAAAATATATAATATTCTCCTCAAGCAGAAAAATGTCAAGTGGATGTCATGGATTCATAAATAGGGCAGTTGGGAAAATGGAAACTTAAATTATTTAAATAATTTAAATAATTGCTTCTAAATTCTTAATTGCAGTAAGGAATAACAATTTGGAGTTTAAAGTCAGGAGATCAGAGTTAGAATTGTACTGCAATCAGGGGAATATTTTGCCTTGACTACGGTTCAGTTAAAAGTTCATTTCCTGGCCGGGCACGGTGGCTCACGCCTGTAACCCCACCACTTTGGGAGGCCAAGGTGGGCGGATCACGAGGTCAGGAGATCGAGACCATCCTGGCGAACACAGTGAAACCCCATCTCTACTAAAAATACAAAAAAAATTAACCGGGCATAGTGGCGGGCACCTGTAGCCCCAGCTGCTTGGGAGGCTGAGGCAGGAGAATGGCGTGAATCCCGGAGGCAGAGCTTGCAGTGAGCCGAGATCGCACCACTGCACTCCAGCCTGGGCAACAGCGCAAGACTCTGCCTCAAAAAAAAAAAAAAAAAAGTTCATTTCCTCAATTCTCTGGTATCTCCTAAACATAAGTTACTCTCCCACCATCCTTATTTCCTTCATAGTACTTACCATAATTTGTAACAATGCCTTAATATCATAATTTATAATAGTAAATAAATAGTTTCAAGCAAGCGAATGAGTGAATGAACGTATGAACGAACCAGTAAGCACAGCTTCTTTGAGAGCAGATAGGTTCCCTGCAGAAAAGAATCAGCTATTCAAGAGTTAAAAAGTAGAAAATATTTTTCTTTAATGTTTAAAGGTAAGAAGCAATTTTCAAAGGCTTCTTTAACCACTGTAGCATGGCTCCAGAGGAGGCAGCTGGAAAAGCTGGGCCCCCTACATGTTATCTCAATGCCTCCACACTCAATTCTGATGTAAATTCATTCATTCACCATTTAAAAAATAATAATTAACATAGTGTTAATATTAATTCCAGTAATGAAAACTCTAGCTCCTAACCTGTAATAAATCAATTTTGATTATATAATATATACAAAAAGACCTTCAAAAACTTGCTGTACTATTTGCATGAGGATATCGCAATCTAAACTATATAAATGGTAGAATTATATGTGATAAAGCTTACTTTCGAAAAGTCATCAATGGCCAGTACTTTGTTTGTTATTTCATACATCTCACCCCTCCTGAAATAGATATCAGCATCTGTGGGCGTGGATTTAATTGCCTGGGTATAGTTTAGAATTGCCAAAGTTATGTCTTTTTTTCCCCTGTAAATTTCTGCTTTTGACAAATATGCCTCTAAAGAAAATTAAAAAGATAAAATTTGGAGTTATAATCCTTTCATTCCTATGAAAATTTTAAGAGTAATCCCTCTCCCTCCACAAATGTAGTCAAAATAATTTTTCTCTATTACACTTTCTTATTAGTTTATCTTATTTTATTCTATTTTATTTTATTTTTTTAGGCAGGATCTCCTTCTGTCACCAAGGCTGGAGTGCAGTGGCACAATCATGGCTCACTGCAGCCTCGACCTCCAGGGCTCAAGCAATCCTCCCACATCAGCCTCCTAAATAGCTGGGACTACAGATGCATGCCACCACACCCAGCTAATTTTTGTATTTTTTTTTATAGACACAGGGGTTCACCATGTTGCCCAGGCTGGTCTCAAACTCCTAGGCTCATGTCATCTGCCCACCTCAGCCTCCCAAAGTGCTGGGATTACAGGCGTAAGCCACTGTGCCTGGGCCCATTTCATTTAATTTTGATTTCGACAATGCCAAATTTGTTCTCAAAGGCTGGATAAATGCTCATTTATGGTTAAAGGTACTTTCAATTTGAAGTAACAAAAATTACCTTTTACCTTTCCATATGTCTAAAATGTTTTTTCGTAATCCTTTAATCATCATAGTAAAAGGTTAGGTTGTGATGACACAAAACTTAATGGACTTTTAGCAGAGATCAACACAGGTCAAAAATCATTTATTAAGCTCATGTTTTATTTTATGGGTATGTTGTAGGTGCTGGGGATACAAAGGTGAATATCACATTTTCACATTCCTAGAAAGTTCCATGTCTAGTGCTTCAAGTTGGTTGGAGGATAGTACATAAGAGCAAAGATATAGATTTCATACAACCAAGTAATCCTAGGCGCACAATAACTCTAACTCAGAGAGATGTGATCAAATCACACAAATCAAAGAGTGATTTGTAAATTACTTCTATAACTAACTATTTTAAATTCATATTCTTTCGTTGTGAGATGAGCAGTAAGGAACCAACTTACTGCAATATATATCAAGGACAATAACCTTTCAAACCATGGTATTTTAAAAACACTATAGGATTGTACGAGCCCCGGATTTACAATAACAAGAGTAAAAAAATTTAACTGAGGAAAGTCATTTTCAGGACATATATCTACTGATTTATGTATCCTTATAGTACCAATAAATGACAAAGGCTGAGGTCAAAATGTAGGTAATATAACTGTCTCTACAGACAACCCACCTGTATTATTTTTATTATATTTATGTATATAATTCAAGTCATCCAAAGCTTCATTAATTTTGTCTTGGAAAAGATAAATTAAATGTCGATGCCAATAGGCATTGAGAAACAATGGTTCCAAGAGTATTACCTAGAAAATATATGTAAAAATTCAGTTAAAGTTGATTTGTTAAAGGAGGATATCCTATCAAATAAATTTTTAAAACACGGTTGATCCCAGTGGCTTTGTATGTACGTAACATAAAATAAAACCTCCCAATCTGACAAACAAAAATCATGTTTTTAATATTAATTACTTGAAAATGCAAATAATTATACTGTTATAATAATTCCACATGCTATACTATAAACATTCATTGTTCAAAATTTCAGCAAAAATTACTATACAATTAAAAGCAAGTGTAAATGGTGAATATTACTATTTTGGTTAAAGAAAACTTACTCTCTGCAGATCATTCATGGCACTCTGCAACTTTCCCAGTTTCCTATAAATAGCTCCACGCCTACAATATGCAAATGCAGGATATTTTGTCTTATCATTTATTTCTTCAGTCAAAATCTTCACTTCAGATTCATAATATTTAATGACCTCTTGTGGAAGATCAGACTCCACATAATCATTTAATTTTAGTTTTGGTGGTTCTTTCACTCTTTCAGGTGGGTCTTCAGGAACTGATATTTTATCATCTTTCTCTTTTACAGGTATGCTCGCATCTTTGTACTCAATGAGCCTATCAAGAGCCCATGTCCGAGGATCAATATTTTCTGGAATTCCTCCCTTAGCTTGGACGAATTTTTCAAAATTTAAATACAAAGGTAAACTGGGACACCGTATTTGACGTTCATATAATGGAACTTTGAACAAATATTTCTTCTGTCCCGGAAGTATTCCATGAGATGCTGATCTAGTTTTTAAAAGAGTGATTTTTTTAAATTACAGAAATACAATCATCTTTCTAATCAGTAAATCAACTCAGCCACACATAAAACTACTATTTGTTATCAAAACAAAATTACATGCTAATTTTATGCGCAAGTTCTCCTTTTCATTTAATAAAATGGTAACACTGTATGAAGAATCTCCCTCAAGTTTATGAAAGCAAAAGACTGTTTTTAAAGATGTAGCCTCCTTACAGTACTAAAAAAATGAGGTCAATGTGCCTTTCGAGTTTAATTTACACCCTCTACAATACCAGCCACCAGAGGAATTACAATGGAGAATTAAGGAAGTAAACATAACGTGAGAAAAAAATGCCATGCAAGAGATTAAAGAGGACATGAACTTGAGGCAGTGGGAAGAAGGCAGGAGTTGACTACACCCCAGACTATCAACTGAACATCCCAGTTTTACCCTCCTCCTAGTAGGCTATCAAATTAAATAATACCTAATATGCTTTCAAATGCTACAAGTCTAGGATTAGCCTTCTCAAATTCTTCCTTTGCAATATAGTCTTCATTGAGTAACATGTGCCATAGGGCTGCTACTGTACTAGCCATAGGAAATACGAATAAACTCAGTCTATCGGAATAAGAAAAAGTTACCCTATCACTTCATATTTACTGAATATGTACTATGAGAAATACCTAGTGCTGAACACTAGGAGAACAAAAGTAAGAAAAGTTAGTTTCCTTCCCTTTCCTTACTTTCATAAGTTATCTATTCCTTTCCACATTCTAGTGCAAGCCACCATCATCTATTCTTCTTAGAGCAGAATAATTTCTTAATTCCCTGCTTCTACTTTTGCCCTTTGTCTAACTCATTCTCTGCATGGCAGCCAGGCATAGTTTTTGTTTTTTGTTTTACAAATGTAAATAAGATCACATCACTCCTCCAGGAGCTTCCCCTAGTATGCAAATCAAGCCCTTCACCATGGTCCATAAGACCCCACATGATCAAGTGCCAGCATAAATATTCCACACCACTACTCTCTCCCTCATTCCCTATTTTCCAGCCATGTAATCCTTGAGCAAGCCTGAAGGCCATTGCCCTTTTCAGCCCTTCTGACTGGCTGGCTCCTTCTCAATTCATATTTCTGACCAAATGTCACTTTAGAAAGGTCTTCTGTGCCAGATATGTTTCGTTTGCACCTCCATATTCATCTCTACCCTTCTCCATCTTGCTCCCTGTCTCAGGAAACTGATCTGCACAGACTATAGCCTTAGGATCGCCTGGTCTCTGTCTTCTCATAAAGTTTATCCAATTAGGAACTCCAACAGAGGGAAGGAGGAGAGTGAAATCAAAGTGTTTATTCCTCTGGCTTCCTCATGAAGGGTCTCCTCAAACTACCTAGGATCCTTGTAAAAAGATCACTACTGCTTTCAAGAAAACCATTACTATACAACTCTTTTCTTTCAGCTTCTAGTCATCACTCCCTCTTTTTGTTCTCTCAAACTTAGGAGTAGAAAATGGCTTTACATTTTTAATCCCAGGATACTGCATTATCATTTCTGGTTTCCTTGTACTTTGACATTTTTGTAAATTTCTCCTTTATCATAACCTCCAAATATTATCCTAAGCTGAGTGGTGTTTGTGATTGGGATGTTCACTGACAAAGTAATTAGTACCAGGGATGGACTCAGGAAACACACACACACATAAAGGATTCTAGGAAAACTTCCTTGCCAGGTTGAAATAGGACATGGGTAATCCATGGCATGTGGTGGTATAAAAATTTGTCAAATATCACCAGTGTTAGCAGGGAATGATGTTCAGGTGGAAGACAAGGCATTGGGAGATCAAAGAGCTTTAAGTCATTAGGACAACAATAATTATTATAAAAATTGTATGTTCAGTTGACTACTTCTTTCAGACCAAAGAGTAGTTGCAGTATCTATTAAGTACCCTCTAAACTTTGTGCACCAAGGTAATAAAGCTAGTAGGCAAGAAGCAGAAAACTGAAATATGGGATGTTAACATGCAAGGAGGTATGAATGAGAGTGACAATTTTAAATCTTCAAATTCCACTTATCTTCCCTTTACTGAGGAGACTGGCTGAGGAATTGTCAGATACCCCAACTGAGACTCTCAGTCCTCTCCTGCATAAGTTTCTTTCAATGACTATACTGTGACATTGCCTCATATGCTGTAATGCACCTACCTCAAGCATGCCCTGAAATCACTCAGCTGTGACTCCCAAACCCTCTCATGGAGCCACAGCCATTACAGTCCCTCAGCCTCCCACATATCTCCTCCATGGAGGTGACCTTGGGTTGGTGGCTGCTGGCCTCACCACACACAGCCTTAGCCAGAACACCCAGGAATACTCTAAGTGAAGGGTTCTCAAACTTCAGCATGCATCAGAATTACCCAAAGGCTTGTTAAAAATACAGATTTTGAGGCTCCACCCTCAGGGTCTCTTATTTGGTAGACCTAGGGTGGAGTTCTAGAACTTGCACCTCTAACAAGTTCCCAGGTAACACTCATGCATGGATTACACAATAAGAACAATTGCTGTAGAGGAATGAGTTCTAAGGTTCAGGAAATAGGAATTTGTCTGCAATATGGAATGTGCTTAGTCAAGTCCCAACCCTTGGAGAGACCAGAGAATGCATAAGTGAGGGGGCACAATACCCTTGAAAAGCCTTGTGGGTGCTGACCTCAGAGCTGGAAAAGAATGACAGTGGGGGAACGGGAGCCAAGAAATTTGTTTCACTGATTCCAATGGGAATAATAGAACCCTGGAGTGGTAAAATTCCATTTACCACTACAGATATGGTAGATACAATGACCACAATAAGCAATAGAGACAGAATAGTAGTAACAGGATTTTAACTCTCAAGGATTCGTGGCAGTAACTAAATGCCTAAAGGTGCTTAGAGATGAGATAAATGGGCAGCTTGCTTGGGTGTTCTTTGGCTTACATAGGGGAAAACTTACAGGTCTTCTGGTACAAACCTAACCAGCTATAGTGGAGGTTCACAATCTTTTACCCAGCTTTCAGACCCCAGCCAGTTCATAGTCCAAAACCTCTCTTAACAGGAAGGTTGGGCAAAGTCCCACTGCGGAAGAATCCTGCAATGTGGCTTAGGTATACACAGTGAATTTTCCCTGAAATCTTCTAAAGGTATGAGAAAGGGGAATACTCAAACCTTCCAGGGGTAATTACATACTGGCTCTGACCTTATGCTAATCCACAGATACCCACTACAAATCCCACTGACGTTTATCAATCAAATTAAAGAATTATGAAAGTCAAGTGAATCTTGGCCTGAGACCATTTAACAGTGGACCTAGTAAGACATGGACCCATTTTTTGATAATTTCCCTAGTCCCAGAATGTACAGTGGCAGTAAATACATGTAATAACGGAATAAACTGTACACTGAGGAAGATAATGGTAGTAAGGGCCAAGTGGAAATCTCGGAAACTGTCCTCATCCCATCTCACATCACTATCCACCAAGATAGCAAACAAAAAGCAATACCAGATTCCAGGGAAATTACACATTAGTGGCACCATCAGAGACTTGAAGGATATAGGTGGCAATTCCCACCATATCTCCATTTTACTTTCCTGTTTCACCAGTGTAAAACAAAGATAGCTTGTAGAAAGTGACTATAAATTATCACAAATTTAATCAGGTGGTGATAACAATTACAGCTTTAGTTCCAGATGTGGTATATTTACTGAAGCAATGAACACACCTCCTGGCACCTGGTTTGCAGCTGTTGACCTGACATGCTTTCTTTTCCATTTCCCTAGTTTAGGAGAATCTGATGAAGTTTACATTTATATGGCAGGGACAACTCTCTCCATATATATATACACACACACATATGTATATGTACGTACATATATATGTGTACGTGTGTATATGTGTGTGTGTGGGTGTGTGTGTGTGTGTGTATCCCATATCCAACCCATAAGCAAATCCTGTTGTCCCTATTTCTAAAATCTATCTAGAATCTAACCACTTTCCACTACTTTGGTTGCTATCACCCCAAACCAAGAAACTATTTCTCACCTAGATTATTTCAACAGCTTTCTAACTGGTCTCCCTGCTCCACTACAATCTATTTTCCACAAGTAACCAGAGCGAACCTTCTGGAACATAAACTAGATCATATGAACTCACTGCTCCCAACTCCCAGTGTTTCCTTTTCTATTAAGAATCCAAAGTCTTTACCATAACCTATAAACATCACTACCCCATTCTCAAGTCCACAATGATTTCTTGGCACTCTTAAGAATAATTTCAAATTTACTCTGGCCTGCAAGGCACCACATGGTATTATCTCTGACCACTTCCTCAACCTCGCTTCTTTCCACCCTGCACTCACTCTGTTCCAGCCACACTGACTTCTATGCTGTCCCTCAAAAGCAAAAAGCATGTCTCCAACTCAAGGCCTTTGCACTTGTTATGACCACTTCAGATATTCAAACACCTCACTCCCTCATTCCATTCAGTTCTACGCTCAAATATCACTACCTTATAGAGGCTTCTGACCACTCTGTCTAAAATAGTAACCTTTGCTGCACTGCTTTATTTTCTTCATTACATTTGTCACTTCCTAATGTTATTTGTTTACCTCTCCACTCTCTCCCACTACAATGTAAGCTCTATGAGGACAGGGAGTTTGCCAATCTTGTTCCTTGCCCTATGCTCCTTGTCTAATGCAGTACTGCTGAGTAGTGCTCAATAAATGTATGTTGCAGAAATGAATGGCTGAACTCATTCATTCATCAAATTGTTGCTGAATTCCTACTATGTGCCATGATTTAATAAGAGAAATCACATTTAACTACAGTCCCTCCAACTCTTCACTTTAAGCTGATAAACTTTGCCTTCATTGAAAATATAGGAGCTATCTGACTTGAATACTTACCTCATTTTCTTAAACAAAATATACATTCCCAGGGAAGGAAGATGCTTTCTTCATATAATGCACAACACCTCTTCCCTGGGAGTTCAGTTGTATCACTTGTGTTCTATGTCCCATCCACATTTGCCTACTCAGAGGCTTCACTCTTTCAATATCCTGACTTTTCTGTATCATCTGAAATTGTGATCAGTACTCTGAAATTTTACTAGGCAGAGAAACTGCAGAAAGGATACTAAAGAGGCAAGAATGAGGAGGAAGTTCCAGATAACAGAGTTGAATGAGGGGTCCTCTAAACCTAAGTTTGAAGCTATACATATCCCAGACTAACTCCTGAACCACCCACAAATCCCTTCTCATTATTCCAGAAATAATCACTGCCTTAGTTTGATGTATATAATTTCAAGGTTTCTTTATAGATATACAAGCACTATTATACACACATACATGCATATACATACAGCTTTGTTAAAATATATTCCCACATAAACATCCAAAAATATGTTAATTGTGACTTATTTCTCAATGGTAGCATTGCTGTATTTTCTAAGTTTTTACAATGAGCATGTATTATTTTTACTATCAAATATTAATAACATAAGTACAATATTTTTAAGGAAACAAGATCTTGCTATGTAACTTTCTAGAAGGATGTAAAAAGGAAAGGAAATGCAGACCGTGGATGAACTTTTATGAAGAAGAATTATAGTCCCAGATCACTGAAAGTAAGTAATACAAAGAAAAGGAACATGATAAAAGAGGGGACTGGCTGTTTACATCTACCCCAAAAGGTAAGTATTTCTTCCTGTACTGCAAGTTTAAATCATGTTTTCATAGCCATGAATATGGTTCATGGTTTTTCATTTGGAGGAACCGGAGTAAATTAACCTGCTAGCTATCACTCCAGTCTGAGAAAGTCAAGCCTTTGGGTTGGAATATGTATACATACAGTTAATCTGAGATGAGATGTAAGACAATTTAAGGAAACAGAAATTTTGAACAGTTCAAATGTTTTGCTCAATATATCGTTGATATAAAAATAAGGACGATTTTACTACCCAAATCAAGGGATATTTGAGCTGGACATTACTTCAGAAATCATGTGGATAGGCTATTCATCTTCTAGATGGGGAAACAAATATTCAAGGAAATTAAGTAGCTCGGCCTAGTCACTGAGGATCTAGTGAATGAAGGTTGGGATATGGATGTATACAAATTCCTGATCCAGAGTTCTTGCTCCTAGAACATCACTGCTGCCAGCTTTTAGAGAAGCAGAGTGATAAATGAAAGTCAAAATAGGCCTGATGGCCAGACGCAGTGGTTCATGCCTATAATCTCAGCCCTTTGGGAGCCCAAGGTGGGTGGATTGCTTGAGACCAGAAGTTCAAGACCAGCCTGGGCAACATGGCGAAACCCTGCCTCTACCAAAAAAAAAAAAATGCAAAAATTAGCCACACTTGGTGGCACCCACCTGTAGGCCCAGCTACTTGAGATGATGAAGTGGGAGAATCCCTTGAGCCTGGGAGGCAGAGGTTGCAGTGAGCCAAGATCACACCATTGCACTCCAGTCTGGGCAATGGAAATGAAACCATGTCTCAAAAACAAAAAAAACAAAACAAAAAAACAAAACAAAACCAAAAAGTGGAAGGATAAAACAACTAAGGAAAACATAACAACTCCTGCTTGGAGGAAAATAAATTCTGCTTCTCTGAGGAATGCAGCAGCACAAGATGAGCCAAGAAAAACAGGTCTGAGACCACAGGGTCACTCGCAGGAGCAGGTCAAGTGAGTTAAGACTAAGGACAATTATTCTAGAAAGGGGCACAAGAAGATGCATTCAGAGGGATAGGAACGCCATTGGCAAACAGGCTGGTAGCCTGGATCTCAGATGAAGAATATTACTCAGTCCTGGAAGACAGAACGTTGGTAGAGATCAAGAGGCTAGCAATTCAGAAAAGCCCACATAGGAGGTAAGGCAGTGGGTACAAGGGAGTCAAGGCAGCCACTATTCATCAATAGGAAGAGGTCACTGTGGGTCAGCCAGCTACTGAGGAAGGTCTCCTCTACACCCTCAGGCTGCTCTGTCAACACTGAGCTCAGAGACCAAAGCAGAGGGAAACTTCTAGAGAAACAATGAAGCTGCGAAGTTATTGCAAACTTTGGCAACCTACCATGACCTAGCTGAGGAGGGAAGCAACAGGGCTAAGGGGATAAAAGGAAATGCATGAATCTGGGTGAGATGGCTCCAGTAGCTTTCTGCAGGAGTGACTTTCCACAGCCATAATTCAACTTGATGTATAAGAACATACGCAGTCTGCTTCCCACCATTAAGGGAGGCCAGCCAAGAATGGGTGTGATGAAATAACCTTTATGGTTGGACATAAAATGGTAAGAAGCACATCTGTGAATTATCAAATTAAGATTAGTGAGAAAAGGCCAGGCGCGGTGCCTCATGCCTGTAATCCCAGCACTTTGGGAGGCTGAGGCAGGTGGATCACCTGAAGTCAGGAATTCGAGACCAGCCTGGCCAACATGACAAAACCCTGTCTCTACTAAAAATACGAAAAATTAGCCAGGTGTGGTGGCACACGCCTGTACTCCCAGCTACTTGGGAGGCTAAGGCATGGGAATCACTTGAACCTGGGAGGCAGAGGTTGCAGTGAGCCGAGGTGCTACTGCACTCCAGCCTGGGCAACAGCGAGACTCTGTCTCAAAAAAAAAAAAAAAAAAAAAAAAAAAAAAAAAAAAAAGTGGGAAAAAAGTCTCAAAGTATAGGAACAAAATTATTTTTCAAGTTGCTCCATAGTTGTTAGTTTTGAACAATTCATATCTACATTCATATGTGGTGAATTAGTTTGAATTAAGATTTTTTTAAAAAGGTAGGAAAGCTGTACTAACAATACTCCCACAGTTTGTTTTACTGCCTCCACCAAAAGGTTCATCCTATGGTTCCTGTTACACCCATTGGCAGCACATACAAATTTCAGAGTCAGTTATTAGAAGGCAAAGAAATCTTTTTAAATGGTAAAACTTTATAATATTCAGAATGATAAAAGGTCAGTAAGAAGACCACACCCCACAGAAGCAGCATTTGATCAGTTTATATCCTTTTTTTAGATAGAAGTCATTTAGGTTGTGGCCAAAATGGTGCTGTGTGCATTACCCTTTCCAGGATGGTGAAGATTCATAATACTTTAAAATCAGTAAATGTATTGAAAATGTATAAGCAAACTTCTGGTTCTGATCTAAAACATTTATCAACTTAGAAAACCTACTTGCAGTCTCCTACAAATGAACTAACAAAAAAATTTCCAGATACTGTATTTGTTGCAGACAAAACTTAAGCATATGTAGTATACAGAGAACACGAGACTTGAATGGCATTCTCCGCTATGGTTGGCCTCTGTTCCACTCTGTCATTCACACTTATGAAGTACTATGCCCCAGTCTTCTCAAGGACAATAAGTCACCATTTCAAGAAATAATTAACTCTTTTACAGACAGCAAGTCTTTATAACTATAAAGTGAACAATTTTTTTTATTCTCTTACCATCAGGAAAGTCTTTACTTTTCAAAAGGACACAAGTTTAATAAATTTTGTGATGTCTGGGGATATCTAAAAAGAAACCTCAGATCTTTTTGGAAACTATTTTGCACAATATGTTTGTTATAAGAAAGTTATGTCCTGAATACTTAATAATGAACACATTTGGAATTTCAGTGGTTATTATTTCAGGTCCCTACATAATTTTAAATATACTGGCTACTATTACTTTCAAGTAAGGAAAAAACTATTTCTGTGTTGATTCCTAAATAAGAGCTTACAATATTAAAAAAATTATTTACTTTTTTTTTTTTTTTGAGACGGAGTCTCGCTCTGTCGCCCAGGCTGGAGTGCAGTGGCACATCTCGGCTCACTGCAAGCTCCACCTCCTGGGTTCACGCCATTCTCCTGCCTCAGCCTCCCGAACAGCTGGGACTACAGGTGCCCACCATCACGCCTGGGTAATTTTTTTGTATTTTTAGTAGAGACGGGGTTTCACTGCGTTAGCCACGATGGTCTCGATCTCCTGACCTCGTGATCTGTCCGCCTCAGCCTCCCAAAGTGCTGGGATTACAAGGGTGAGTCACTGCACCGGGCCCAAAATTATCTAGATTTATAACTCAATTCAATAATTTAAAATTTAAAAATACTTAAATATCTATTTTGAATGAGTAGAATTTGTGTGGAGCAGGAGTTGTTTTTTGTTACTAAATCACTTCAAATAACTTGTTTGGGTTTTTTACTTTCTGGAAGATTTCAGTTAGCCATCAAATTGATTTAGTCTTACCTCATGTCCTTAAATCAGTCCCCTATTTAAATTATCATTTGAATCATTCACATACTTATACTAAGAGATATCCATATATTTTTAAATGAGGGTTTGTCTTTCTTTTTTTTTTTTTTTTTTTTTTAAGATGGAGTCTCACTCTGTCATCCATGCTGGAGTGCAGTGGCCTGATCTCAGCTCATTGCAACCTCCACCTCCCAGGTTCAACCTCTTCTCAGCCTCCTGAGTAGCTGGGACTACAGGCACACACCACCATGCCCAACTAATTTTTGTATTTTTGGTAGAGAGGGGTTTCACCATGTTGGCCAGGCTGGTCTTGAACTCCTGACTTCAGTTGATCCGCCCGCCTCTGCCTCCCAAAGTGCTGGGATTACAGGCATGAGCCACGGCGCCCAGCCAGAGGTTTGTCTTTCAAAGAGTGAAAGGTTCATATGTTCAGTGCAGAATAAAATAATAACTTCATGGGGTGAGATTATAAAATTAAGGTCAAAACCACAATATATTTCTTAAACTATAAGAAAATCACTTAAACAAGACCTTTCAAGAGATTTTGGAGGCTTGGATAACTCTTCATGCACGAATATAAGTTTTTGTTGTTTCAATCTTTTCTTCCATCTCATCTTCTTTTTCTTGGGATAAACAATGTAACTAATGCCAGCTTTTTTAGACGCTTCAATGAGAGTCAAAGAGAGATTTCTCAAACTGTGTTTTTCGCACATGTTATCAAAGATGTCATCTATACTTTCTTTCACATAGTTGGGCTCCTCAGTTTTATTTTGCTTAGTGAGCTGGAGCTGACGTTTCAATTCCTTTGCTTTCTGAAACATAACCTCTTTTATACTGCTTTGCATATCATTCTTGATTTCCAAAGGAGCTATGATCTTCTCCTTCCTCAAGTCTACAGAAGATTTTACTCGCTTAGTAAGCAAGCAAAGAGGTAGAAAAAACGTAAAATCAATTTAGTTGCTATGCATTCAAAATTAATTAATTCTGTTACAATTACTATTAATGTGGTTTGGTCACTTAATTTAAAAGTTTAAAAATCAGTATTCTTAAAATTATTCAAAAGTCAGCTGATAAAGTTAATAGTGGGTTAGTTCAAGCAAAGTACAATAATTTGGTTGGTCATATGACATTTCATTAGATATATGTAAACAGCACTATAAATTAGATATGTATTATGATTTTCTATATTTTAATTGAAAGAGAATGCTCTCTATATATCCAAATAAATTATATGCTGTACTTTTATATTTAATGCAAAAAAACTGGTAGAAGGGGCAAAAGCTGTTAAAATGCCTTATTCCATAAAAATCAATTTGGGTTTTCTTTCAAAAGCGCTTTAACAACACTGAATTTCTACACAATACCATTCAAATATTCTCCATAATAACTTTCAATTTAATATTTATAATAGGAAGTAACAGAATCCCAACCTATTACAGTATTTATTTTATCTAATCATTAGAGAATCAGCTTAATTTTTAATAATATTATTTATTATAACATTAATAATTATATAATTTTAATAATTATGCATTAATACTTGAAACTCTAATACTCATTACTTACACAAGATAAATTACTTTAAATCCTTTGATATAGCATTTCCTGCCTATTGAGCCATCGTCAATAAGTTAAATGCATTTCATTTGCTAATAAATAATTTGTTATACAGATGTAGTTCTTTATAGTCAATTTTGGCCCAAATTTCAAACATAATAATTTCATACAAGCCAGTTATGTACTTTAAGATATGTACTAAAGTACAACAGAGATATTGACCATCTGCAACTTACTGTACTCCCCCATCTCAAGAAACTATATAAAACTCAATATGTAATTAGACTAGAGAATATAATATAGAAGTAGATGCTTTTAAAAAAAAATAAGGTGATTATTATTCCTAGGAATATAAATGTTTCTTTTAGAGAGTAAAAACTGTAAAATTATAATACCCTTAGTTGTGTAGGTTGTGCACTAAACCATTTTTGGATACTTTCAAATGATGCAGATTTTCTTGGTAAGAAACACTGTGAAATAATCAAATGAAAAATATACATTAGTCACAGATACTATCTGATAAGCTAAAATATATAATACTTGGCTAATAACTGTTTAGGTAAATTAATGAAATTCAGAAATACTGATTAAAATACAGATACTGAGTTTGAAGTCACTGACTTTATATAGAGGAAGAGAACTTAAAATCTATGAATTAATGTAGAAAAGTGTATAATAATAAAAACTATGTTTTTTTAAAAAATTCAACTTGATATAACAAACACCAAGTACCTGCTATGTACAAGGTAGTATAGTGCAAAGCTACCCAGCTGGTGTAGGTGGCACTGGTGTGTGTGAATGTGTGACAGATATGCTGAGCCATGAATCCCCTTAACCCTGGGGCTGCATTAGTGGGAGCCCCTGGACAGTCACCTCTAATCATGAGCAATCTCAACCTTTTAGTTCAGGAAACCACGCAAGTGTTACCACTTACTATAATAACACCCAGACTGGTGTTATTATATTAAGAGTTGGAAAGCTCTACTAAACTAGAGTGCAAAGTACAAAGAAAATGCTATGTTCCATGTCCTTAAGCACAATAATGATGCAAACAGCAATAAAGAAACATCTAGACCAGATCCAGTGGCTTACACCTGCAATCCCAACAGTTTGGGAGGCTGAGGCAGGAGGATCACTTAAGCCTAGGAGTTTTGAGACCAGTCTGGGCAACATAGTGAGACCCCATTTCTAAAAAAATAAAAAATAAACTAGCTGTGTATAGTAGTGCACACTTGTAGTCCCAGATACTCAAGAGGCTGAGGTGGGAGAATCACTTGAGCCCGGGAGGTCCAGGCTGCAGTAAGCCATGATTTTACCACTGTACTCCAGCCTGGTAGATGGAGTGAGATTTTGTCTCAAAAAGAAAAGACTATATTAGGCACTAGTGAGAGAAAAATAAAACCATGTCCTAATTGTACCCCATAAAGTTCAGGTCATTGGATACACTGTAGTTAGTTATACCAAAAGTCATGATTATGCATCTGATCACCGTTTAAAGCAATCAGTCTTACTCTGCTTCATGGCCACAGTTTCTCCATTTAGTCAAAGACTCATAAACATGTTCCTTTGATATTGAAGACCTACACAAGAATGAGTGAAAAAACTAGAAATGTTAGAAAAACTCACAACAAATATCCTGCTATTGATTAGTGAATAACATCTTCTAACAGTCATAAAAACAGCATATTTGAGAAAGTAGAAATGTATCTTCAGCAAGGATAGCACTGAATGGTCTGAGCCATTTTCCAAAATGAAGAAGTACTAAGAAAAAAAAAAATTTTTTTTGAGACAGTCTCCCACTGTTGCCCTCGATCTCCTGGGCTCAAACCATCCTCCCACCTCAGCCCCCTAAGTAGCTGAGATACAGGCACGTGCCACCACATCCAGCTAATTTTTTTGTTTTTTTACTAGAGATGGGGTTTCACCATATTGGGCAGGCTGGTCTGTAACTCCTGGCCTCAAGTGATCTGCCCACCTCAGACTCCCAAAATGCCGGGATTACAGACATGAGCCACCATGCCTGGCCCCAAGAAATAATTTCTGGAATTACCATAATTAATATCTGGACTGTAGGCAGATAGAGTAAACAATCCTAATTAAGAACAAAAATTGTACATACCCAAAAATTTGTTCTGCTATGTTGATGTAAAGTAATGACACTGCTTTTATATGACAATTTATCAGTTAAAAGTCTGCTTGCTTGAACACTCTGTGATAAAAAGATAACAATTTTAAATTATGTTTTGGAATACTTTTTAAAAGCCTATGATGACTGTTACTTCATAGTACAACATTATTAACAAAAGAACCAAAGAGAAAACATATGAAAGTAGTATAATTCTAGAAAACACTTACCAGAGATGCATCAAAGTCCAGCTATAGCCTTAGTATTTGGCCAAAACCTGCAATTTGGCTTCAGTGTTGGCATTTAGCAAAATGGTTACTTCCACACTATTTCTGGCATCCTTAATCTTAGGAGTGATCAATGATCCTATGATCTCATAGGTTAACACTGAATTTATGTAGCATATTAATATCAGGATTATGAACAAGACATATCTAGTTTTCTTGTCAACACATGAATATTCATTTTTAAATACAAGCAATCATTCTAAATGTAAACTGGAATGAAATTTGCCTTAAGTGCTTTATACTTTGAATTCTATCGGTTAAGTATGTAGATATATTTATTGTTGTAAGAGTAAACTGCCACTATGATTAAGGTTATTATTAAATGTGCTACTTCTCTATCTTGTAATCAGTGGTTTGGACATGCAGAAACCTAGAAGACCTAAATTCGACACCCGGGTAGATTAATGATTAATTAAATCATACTACTACTTTGCTTTTTTAAATTGTTAGGTCTCAAACACTAACATTACAAATTTTAAAAATATTTATTGAATAAAAAGTCAGATTTTAAAAATATTATGTAATTATTACCGACGATGGAGAAGGCTATGGGTAACTTAGGAATCACCAAGCATTGAGTTTTTGCTAAAAATCCTCTCAAGTTATATTTTCAGAAAGTAGTGATAGCACAATGTATGGTAAGATAATTACTGGGCATAATAGAAAGATACTTGGTCACTTTCATCATTATTCTTTAAAAACAAACTACATGGTATACCAGGGATTTTCAAACCATTTTGTCATATGCTTACACAAGATATTGAAATATGATGGAATAGCAGATATTACATATTTAAAAGAATGCTTTTAACAACAATAAGGACAAAAACCTTAGTACCGTGCTTCATAGATATCAAAACTGTGGAACTTATTAACAATCAATGGTTGCTTATTTTAAAAAAAGAACATATATGCTGGAGCCTTGGAAACTGTCAAAATAATGCCCAAACTAAGGTGTCTTGAGAGGGCACTTACAGTGTTACTTATATGATATGCAATGGAAAAAAAAAATCCTCCTACTCTACCCCAAAGATATTGTTGAAATTGGTATGCATGCAATAAAAGCTGGGATGCAAACAGAAATGGAAACAGTTTCCTTAAAAGTCAATAATGACTTCTGCTTCTAATTAGGTAACATTAGGAACTTTGCTGAGGACAACTGAGAGCTACATATAATTTGAAAAACAATGGTCAAAACATCACAGAGCTAACAAGATGAAAAGACGAGCCAAAATCTGAGAAAAGACAAGGTACCAGAAAAGGTAAGCCTACTATTCAAAGATGCTTTGTTCTCAGTATGTTTGCCAAAACAACTACAACTCTGAGTTGCAGATTTGGCAATTTCTTGGGGCAAGGGTGACAAAAAATCTAAGCCCAGAATCTATCTGAGATGTGGAGCCTGATAATACATCCCAATTATATATAAACTGGAATACCACAGGGGTACACCCTCAGATTAAAAGTGGGTGGAAGGAATCAACTTTCATGCAGACTTTTAGTCTGGGTTCTATCACGAGGGTAGTCAGAGAAACTCACGCCTCAACTTTAGATTAAAGCTGTCTCTGAATAGTAAAGACCCCAGTTTCTAACAAAAATGTCCTTTGGAGGAAGAAAATGCCATAATGCCATTCTAAGTCTCAAATGTTTCCTTAAAATCATGTTTTAAATACAATGGTAAGCAAACATTCAAAGACAGACAGGTATACAAAGAAACAAAACACCATAACATAACAGATTTAGGGAAAAATAGAAATACTAAGAAGAACCATATAAAAAACAAGTTTAACAATATATTATACACAACTAAAGAGAGAATTCGTGGACCTCACCTATAATACAGGTTAGAAGAAATTGTCCAGAATCCAATACCAAGCACAAGAGAAAAAAAGGTAATTAATACATGTGATTAAAGTCCCAGAAAATGAAATAGAGAATGGATAGAGATTACTAAAAATTTTCCATAGCTAATGAAAGATGTCAACTACAAACTCAAAGGATTTCAATATGTGATAAATAAAAAGAAATACACACCTAGACACATCATAGTGAAACTATAGGAAATGCAAATGAAAAACTTAAAACCAGCCAGGTTTAGGAGAAGCAGAAGATGCATTAGCTTCAAAGTCTTTACATTTAAGACTTACTTCTCAACAGCAATAATGAATGCCAGAAAATAATGGAACATCATTACTCTGTTAAAACATCTGCCAATATATTATACTCAGATAAAATATTCCTCAAGAATGAAATTATATGAAGACATTTTGAAACTAAGAAAAACCAGGGTTTTCACCAACTTGCAGACCTTCTACCCCTCCTCTTAAAACAAATTCTATAGGATACAATTTAGGCAGAGGGTAAAATGATTCCAGATATAAGTGTCTGACATGCGAGGAAAAAAAAGAAAAGCCAAAAAAAGAGATAAATATATGGGTAAAATTTAAGGTATATTACATAAAATGAAAATTTAGTTTGGACTTTAAAAGCTAAGGATCTATCAAAGTAAAAGCGTAAGTCAAGAAGGGGTAAATGGAATCAAAGGATTCTGAAGTCACTGTATTTTCCTGGAGGAGTATAAAGGTATTAATGTATATTAGATATCAATAAGTTAAAGATGCATATTCTAGGGAAACAGCCACAGGAATAAGTAAAACATACCGTTGACCCTTGAATAACATGGGTTTGAACTTCATGGGTTCAGAAAATCTACTTATTTACAGATTTTCTTCCACCTCTGCCACCCCTGTAACAGCAAAATCAACCCCTCTTCTTCCTCTGCCTCAGCCTAATCAGTATAAAGACTAAAGACAACAGGCCAGGCCCGGTGGCTCACGCTTTAAGTCCAGCACTTTGGGAGGCCGAGGTGGGCGGATCACGAGGTCAGGAGATTGAAGCCATGGTGAAACCCCGTCTCTACTAAAAGTACAAAAAAATTAGCTGGGCGTGGTGGCGGGCGCCTGTAGTCCCAGCTACTCGGGAGGCTGAGGCAGAGAATGGCGTGAACCCAGGAGGCGGAGCTTGCAGTGAGCCGAGATTGTGCCACTGCACTCTAGCCTGGGCGACAGAGCAAGACTCCGTCTCAAAAAAATAAATAAATAAAAGACAACAAAGTGAAGATCTTTATGATCGTCTACTTCCACTTAGTTAATAGTAAGTATATTTTCTCTTCCTTATAATCTTCTTAATACCATTTTCTTTTTTCTAGCTTACTTCATTGTAAGAATGCAGTACATAAGGCCGGGCGTGGTGGCTCACGACTGTAATCCCAGCACTTTGGGAGGCCAAGGCGGGCAGATCACGAGGTCAGGAGATCGACACCATCCTGGCTAACACGGTGAAACCCCATCTGTACTAAAAAATACGAAAAATTAGCAAGGCGTGGTGGCGGGCTCCTGTAGTCCCAGCTACTCGGGAGGCTGAGGCAGGAGAATGGCGTGAAACCAGGAGGCAGAGCTTGCAGTGAGCCTAGATCGCGCCACTGCACTCCAGCCTGGGTGACAGAGTGAGACTCTCTCTCAAAAAAAAAAAAAAAAAAAAAAAAAAAGAATACAGTACATAATACACATAACATAAAATATGTGTTAATTGACTGTTTATCAGTAATGCTTCCAGTCAACAATAAGCTATTTGTAGTTAAGTTTTTGGAAAGTTGAAAGCTACACATGAATTTTCAACTGTGCAGGGATTGGCACCCCCAACCCTCACATTGTTCAAGGATCAATTATATATAACTTTTACAACAGAAATGATAAAACACAATACACCCAAATAATTGGCAAAAAATTAAGCATACAATGGGTAAGAAAATAAAAATAACAATAAAAAGTAGATGTAAATTTTAAATAGGTCCAATTAAAAAACAAAAAAAATCCAACTGTATTTGTTTTCATCTAATCACATGTTGTTTATAAAAGACACATCTAAAATATAAGAATACAGAAAGGTTATGTGTAAGGGAACAAATATTTAATGAAGGAAAATTGTTGTCAATGCATTAATAATAAAGATAGACTCTAAGGTAAAAGTGTTTACTAAAATAAAGTAGCTCAGTTCGTTACTGAAAGTTTTGACTCATAAACAATGTTTAACAATCCTTCATTTGTATGCATCTAATAACATGGCCCCAAAATATATAAAGTAAAAATTGACACTATTACAGGAAAATATAGACAAATCTACACCACAGTGGCAGATTTAAACACCCAGCTGAGGTTGAGCAAAATGTCATTCTGCCTTCTTGTTTCAACTGTCGTACTGTAAAGAAGTTTCCTTTTCAAGGCCTATTTAGTGTCGTGTTTTTCATATTTTTGTGCTTTTGGTTTGTGATTTTGCTCTTTAAAATGGTCCCCAGTATAGTGCTGAAGTGTTGGCTAGTGTTCCTAAGTGCAAGAAGGCTGCAATGTGCATTACAGAGAAAACAAATGTGTTACATAGCTTCTTTCAGGCATGAGTTATAGTGCTGTCAGCTATGACTTCAGTAGCAATGAATCAACAATATATATTAAATAAGGTGTCTTTAAACAGAAAAGCCCATAAAGCAAGGTTACGTATTGATCAGCTGATGAAAACCAGAGCCTCACAGGACCCTCGCCTTCTACTTCCCCTAAGAGCAACAGTTCAATATCAACTAATTCAGTGCTTGAGGTGACTTTATGGAACATAACTACCACAAATGACAAGAATCTACTGTACATGTTTATTGTATCTGTACCTCATACTAAAATGTAAGCTCCATGAAATTAATGACCTTGAATTTTCATTGCTGCAGCTCCAGCCTCTAGAACAGTGGCTCACACATAGAGGTGACTGGCATGTATTTATCTGATGAATGAATGGAAAAATGACATGTAAAAAGACTTAAGTCTTCATTTTAAACAAGACCAAGAAGTTCCAAGTGGGATGAATGAGAACTATAGTGTCCGAATACTTATTATCAACATGACTGGAGGCTGCCTGGCAAGTAATTAGAAAAACAGAATTTTATGCCACATCAAATTGGAATGCAAGAGGCAGAGGAAAATAAATATACATCCACAAATACAAGTACTCCAAAATTTACCACACAAACCTTTCCAGAAAGAATTAGTCAAAAATATAATAAGGAAAACAAAAATGATTAGAAGAAAGGAAATGATGTAAGACAGAAGAAATTGTGGAAAGAAAGTCAGAAAAACATAGTTAAATCTATGTAATTATTGATGCACAGAGTGAACATTAAAATTATCAGGAACAAAAATATTTAATGGTCTCCAATGTGGCAGATGGCAGATGGGAGTAAAGTGAAACATTTTAAAGCCAATCCTTCATGGAAAGGATATAAATTCTGATTGACTCTTGATGTGCTTAAATACATGCCAGATATTTTTAAATAACCATGAAAATGTAAAATCATGAATATATTATATCCAGACTACTGAATTTTATTTTTTAAAAAGGAAAACTGAAAAATATAAGTTTAAGAGAAGGAATAACAGGTGAAAATAAAAAAGACAGCATCAAACAAAAAATAAGTTAAATTTGCTTTTTAAAAATAAGAGCACATAGATCTGTGCATCTAAATATCATTTCCCATTCACCACAACCAGGAGTCTTTGAAGAAAGAGTCAATGCCAGTTCCGGTGAAATGAAAATGTCAGGTGAGCTTGAGCTATCTTTTTGTGCCAGAAAGTACTGTTGGATCCTTTCTCTCCTGGTCATTGGGAGTGGACAACCACCAGTACTGATTTTCTTTCGGACTACTTTTCTAATGGGTTACTCCATGGTCACCAGTTCTCACTAATTCTTCCTATTCCTGCTACAATTTCACTTCTTTTAAAACAATTTTGCCTACCTTCAACTCCCTACATTCACACTTTCCTATAAACATAGATAGAAAAATATATGCCCATACTTTGTAAACAAACATATAGTTTAAAAAACATTGCACTCATATTACAGACTCCCTACTGTGTCAGCTCAAGTAGAAGTAGACGCCAACAGTATAGGATAAAATGAGAAGGTGCAGGAGTAGGCAGGGGGAACCTTCAGAGCATTATGCAGATTTGACATCTCTGAAAGGGGATGAGAGAGGAAGGATTAGGTAGAAAGAGCTTCAGACCACGGAGCAGTTCTAAGAAAGATTCAACCAGGCTGATGAAAAGTCCCTGAGCCAAAATTGCCCATGAAAGCAATCACAATCAAGCAGGAATGCATCTGCTCTAGCAACCACCTTGTGCTCAGTCCCTGGCTGGGAGCAGCCCCAAGGAAGCATGGCCTTGGAGCAAATGCCATGTTAGGTCTGCGGGACAGCAGCTGGAGGCCACCAGTCAAGTATGCCCCCTCAGCAGATTTTCTTGAAGCAGATGTGAGCATCATATTTTCACGGATGCCATATTGACTTATGCAAATTAATATTCACCAATCTTCTGCATGAAGGCAATCTTTTAATACACTTTATATCATTAACTTTCTCTTTCTAGCTCATGACATATTTTTCAAAAACAATATGTAAGTATTTTCTTAAGTAAATGAAAAGGTTAGACTGCATTATTAAAAAATGCAAATATATATTATAATCTTCTAAGATTTGAAATATACATACACTTTGACTAGGAATTCCAAACAGAAAAATACACATATGTGTGCAAAGATATATATATTCAAGTATTTTAAGTGAAAAAAACCAAGATGTAGAATAATATAAATTACAACTCCACAAATGTAAAAGTATGAATTTGCACACACCTGCATGACATAAATGACAATGAAAATGTCTGAATGGATATACGAAATGCATTTAACAATGGCCAACTTCAGGGAGAAGAGAACTGGAGAAGGACAGCATTAAGGAGGGGGAATGCTCTTTATGTCATATTCATCTTTATTGTTTGAATTTTTACTACAAGTAAGCATTCACATACCACTAGTGTGATTTCTGAAGTAATTGTAATAGCCCTTGCCACTCTGAAAACAGCACAGACAGTAGGGAGTTAACAAAAGAGAACAGAAATTTTAAATAAACAGAAACCACAAAATAAAATAATAATAGTAGGACCAAAACACCATATGTTACTTATATAGCACCTCTAAAACAAAACAAAACAAAAACAATAAGAAGTATTAACCTAAAAATATTTCTGAACACAGAGAAAAGAACACAGGGCTAGACATACTAGAGTAGAATTCAAGCACTGAATAGGCCAAACTGGACCATTTCAAATCAGTAAGAGACAAAACTCATAATAAAGACAAAACATCTTCTAATCACAGAAAGTAAAACTGTTAGTAACAAGTGGAGAATTTTTTTTTTTTTTTTTTTTTTGGTAGTGATAGGGTTTCATCATGTTGGCCAGGTTGGTCTCCAACTCCTGGCCTCAAGTGATCCACCCACCTCAGCCTCCCAAAGTGCTGGGATTACAGGCGTGAGCCACCATGCCCGGCTAACACATGGAAAAACTGACAAAGCATAACTTCATTGAAAATCCATATTTAATTAAAGTCTTTATGAGATCAAATGAAATAAATATGCCACATAAAATGTAACAATATTACAGTATAATAAAGTCTATTATTATTTGAGCACCTACTACTTATCGAGCAATGCACCATATAGTCTCTCATTAAATCCTCAAAAGACCCACTTGGCAAACAAAAAAAACTGAGACTTCATGAGGTTAAAATAATAGTACGAGGTTACCCAGGAAGTAAGTGGAATTCAGATTCAAGACCATCTGATTCCTAAGGTGTGCTCTGCTTAGTCTGGCCACAATATCAAAGTGATAACAAATAATACCACTGAATTAACTGAGAGATATTGGGATATCTAGCACAACCCAAAGCAAATATCCATAAATTCCAAGAAACTGGTATTTTGAAGAATATATTTTTACGCTAATAAGGATTAAGAATAAAATTTAAACAAAATAATTCCAACGAGTTTTTAAAAAATGTTTAAACACTATGGTGTATCAAAAAGAAAAGGAAAATTGCAATAGAAATTACTTTGAAAATAAATAAAGACACTGCAAATGAAAAGGTTTGAAATAAGGTCAAGTACACAGAAGAAAACTCATAAATTACTTATATTATTTTTAAAAAAAGAAGAAACATGAAGAAATTAATTAAGTTTTCAGCAAAAGAAATTAGAGTCTGGGCGTGGTGGCTCACACCTGTAATCCCAGAACTTTGGGAGGCCAAGGCGGGCGGATCACAAGGTCAGGAGATCAAGACCATCCTAGCTAAAACAGTGAAACCCCATCTCTACTAAAAATACAAAAAATTAGCCAGGCATGGTGGTGTGCGCCTGTAGTCCCGGCTACTCGGGAGGCTGAGGCAGGGGAATTGCTTGAACCTGAGAGGCAGAGGTTGCAGTGAGCCAAGATCGCACCACTGCACTCCAGCCTGGTGATAAAGTAAGACTGTCTCAAAAAAAAAAAAAAAAAAAAAAATTAGAAAAATACCAACATAGAATGTCAACATGCTATGGAAAGCAGAAAGCCAATAATCAAAAATATGTTAAAAGGGAGAAGTAACAACATTGAATTAATAATTAATACAAAAGGTTTTTGGTCAAAGATGGTGGGTTAAACTCATGTGTTTTTCTGGTTGACTGGCCACGATATCTAATAGCCAGGGAATTATGTATTATATATCTTTCTAAAAAAATAAAATAAAAGGGATGGTGTTATACTGGTATGAGTATACTAGTCTGACAAACATAGGGAAAGTATTCAATTTAAAAACAAATGAAAAAAGAAAAAACTACTTTCTAAAAGTTCTACTCTAAGAAAAAAATATCAGAAACACCATCAGAAAGGAAAAAGAAAATGATGCAATATTAGAAAGGAATATTAAAACTGACAAAATATATGCAACTCTATGTACATAACTTATAAATCTCAACTAAATACATAGCTTACTGTAGGAATATGTTGCCAATTGACAAGAAAAATAGTAAATATGAATAAGCTAAGAATTAGAAAAGAAAAAATTTTAATTATCAAACAATTACCTTACCAAATGGCTCAGATGAGTCCAAACAGTGAGCTCTTCCAACTTTTCCATTATTCCTAAGCCATATCAATTTCAGAATATTAAAAATGATGAAATGCTATCCAGTTAACCTTATAAAGAAGAGCTCTGATAGCAAAGTCCAACAAAGGGAAAAAAAAATACACTACACAGATATTTCACCCATGAGTATATATTTAAAATTAAAAATAAAATATGGCCTAACAGAATTCAACATAATATTTAACAATAATACACTATGAACAAGTAATCCAAGAAATGCAAAGATATTTCAATATTAACATTCTAAACACGTAGTATCAACAGGTTAAATATGAACAAGACTCCATCCATGCCTTGGTTGCAGGAAAGCTAGGAGATAAATTGATGACCCCATTTCAAGCAACAGCATACATGAACTGAATTTCTTCATATTAATCTTACCTCTGGCTTTATTATGCTATTACTCATGTTATGTTTTCCCCACAATTTCTTTAACTTTTTTGTTTTATCCTTTTCTGATATATGTGTTTTCATAAGCTGCCTACAACGCTGTGCAAATAAAATAATCCTGAATGCCACTAAAAATTTATGTACAATGATGCTCATCACTGAAATATTGTAACCAAGAAAAAAAAAGGAAAAAGCAGAAAAGAGGAGGAGGAAGAAGGAGAAGAATTTTTACAAACCAAAGAAAATGAACCAAAAAGTGGGCAGCAATTCTCTGTGGGAGAAGAATAATAGGTTATTTTGTTTTATTTCTCCTCATTTTTCTAATTTTTAAAATGATCAGTATAACATAAAATGAGAGTAATCATTCTTCTTTAAGGGAAGGAAAAAGATTACCACATTTGGGTATTATTAAATGTTTTTAACATTAAATTAATTTAAAATGTGATTTTAAAAACAAATGAAAATACCATGAAGATCTCTAAACAACTGAAGTAGCTTTATATCTTGAACTCTCAATCAAATAAAACATTCTTTCAAAAAGAAAACAGAATATTCTTCTTAACTAGCTAAAGTCACATGGATAAGTATAACATTTTTTAAATATACATACATAATATATAAAACTATGGCCAGGCATGGTGGCTCATCCCTGTAATCCCAGCACTTTGGGAGACCAAGCTGGGTGGATCACCTGAGGTCAGGAGTTCTAGACCAGCCTCACCAACATGGAGAAACCCCATCTCCACTAAAAATACAAAATTAGCCAGGTGTGGTGGCACATGCCTGTAATCCTAGCTACTCAGGAGGCTGAGGCAGGAGAATTGCTTGAACCCAGGGGGCGGAGGTTGCGGTGAGCCAAGATCGCACCATTGCCCTCCAGCCTGGGCAACAAGAGCAAAACTCCATCTCAAAAAAAATTATATATATATATATATATATATATATATATATATATATATATATACACACACACACACATACATACATATATAAATTTTATATATATACATATATACATGTATATATATACACACACACATATGAACATATAAAATTATAAATTTATAAGTATGTAGGTATATATTTGTATACATACATACAATTATTTACATATATAAATAACTTCTGTAGTGACATCCAATTAATCCTAATTATGGCAATAACTGGTAATTTACATAAATGGCCAGTAAAATTGAATGTCATAGCCAATTATACAATTTATTTATTAAATAATAACAACAACAATAATAGAGAAAACCCATTCGGTATGTTACCTCATATTTTGGATATAGAGTTTCCTTCATGACAGATTCTGGAACAGAGAATTTAGGTGCAGCTGTATTCCAAAACAACTTCGTGAATTCTGGATAAGCATACATCTTTGAAAATAACATAAAAGGTTATTAGAAATGGTAAGAAATGGCCTTGAGAGTAAAAACTCAATCTCCTGTCAAAATTATTTTTAGTTGCTGAGAATTTTTGGTTCCACAGCTTCTGAAAATATGGATAAGAATTTTTTTACAGCCATCAGGTTAGCAAAAATGTAAAAGTCTGCATTACCAACTGATGCTAAGGACTTGGGGAAATTTGTAGAACACGCTGGAGGCCAATTGGCCATATCTAGTAGAGTAGAAAGTGTACGTGCCACATCTTCCTGGAATTTAACTTCCAGCTATATAGTGTAGGCAAATTCTTGCACACATGCATGGGGAGATGAGTATGGGATATTCACAGAGCATATGAAATAAAAAATTAAACCAAATCTAAATGTCCATTAATAGAGTAACATAAATAAAATGTGGTATACTCATAAACACTATAAAACACACTAAAACACAAAAATTATGATCTAGAGATGGATCTTAGAAGCATGGTATTGAGAAGAAAATAAGCAAGTTTTAGAAAGAATCATATAAAACTATGTCATTTATATAAATGTATCCAGAAAACACAAAAAATGTATTATTTATTGGTTAGGCTCACGAATACATCTAGTAAAGTATAAACTCATGGACTGGAAAAACTACTATAATTGTACCAGTAACTGCTGGGTAGGGAGGAAGAGAAATGGAATTAAGAAGTACAAAAGGCCTTAATTTAATAATTTTTAAATTTTTATTTTAAAAAACATGAAACAAGTATGACAAAATGTTAACATTTCCAAAATCTTACTAACATATTCTCAGGTGTTTGCTAGTGTGGTTTCTGTATTTCTTTTCCAAATAAAAATTAATCAGGCCTAGGAGATTTTTTTTTAGGGATGTGAAACTCTTCTGTATGATCTGGAATTGTGGCTACATGACATTATACATTTTTAAAAACCCATTGAACTTTGAAGCACAAGGGGTGAATTTTAATGTAATGTAAATTTATGCCTACAGCCATACCACCCTAAATATGCGTGATCTCTCCTTTAATATGAATTTTTTAAAATCATTTAGGAGGTCAGGAGGAATCCCACGATGGAATGCAGAATGTCATAAAACAATCTAACTGTATTACAAACGTATGAAACAATCTCACCCAAGGGGGTGGGAGGAAAAGTTACTTTGGAAATGTGTACATAAAACCAAAGGCAAAAGGAACTGTGCACATAGCATTATACAGTAGGTAATAAAGTTGTATCCCACAGGATTATGAATTAACAATTCTGATACTTCTATGCACGTGCACTGGCACTGAAAAATTTAATAAATTGAGGGAGAATTATGGAAGCCTGGTTTGTCACTGCTGGAGTAGAAGTGCAGTAGAAAAAAAGGAAGGAAACTAGAATGACCCATGAGGTAGATTAGAGTTGGATGCATCAGTAAGAACTCATATTTAGCTTACTATAGATACAGATGTTTACATATAGAAATATGTATAGATACATGTATTTATTTATACAAGTTTGTGTACACACATATATTTCCTTGCTTTGACAGCTGACAAGACCTAGAAGCAACAATGCCCAGTAGAAACAAACACACCTACTGCCTGGATCTTAGTTTTTAATTATATTCCCCAATAAAGAGACCCAGGGCTCCTTGTTGAAATGGCTGATTCTAGGACTGGGGCAGGAAATATGCAAGATGAACCTAGAATATCTAATACTGCCAAAAATTAAGAAAGTGTTCTAAAAAAAATCCCACAATGATAGGGTGTCAAAAGAGACATAGAAGCCATCTGAAGGAGTTCCCAATGGCCAAAGATCAAATAATTTTATCAAAACTAATAATAATAATGTAGTACTGTATTACAACTCAAAGTATAACGTAAATATTCACAAATCATACTGATATAAATAAATGACTGAGTAAATAAATGAATGAGAAGAATAGACACACTTCCTATATAGAAGAGTTCTAATAAATTTTTGTAGACACTCTACCCTCAAAGAGGTGGAGCATAACCCCCCACTTCTTAGGTGTGGCTGTGTATGGTGACTTTCTTCTGAATAATATGGAAAGGGGAAAAAAAGACAGACTTTAAATGAAGAAACCTGGTAAACACTACCTAGCCAGGTGATCGAGGTTAACATCAACATTAATAAATCATGTCGATAGTATATACCCGATACCTGATGAAAATGGCACTTTTTAACTCAGTGGTCTTCCTCCAAAAATCACATAATCGAATCAAATCAGAGAAACATCATGGCTGGGTGTGGTGGCTCACACCTGTCCCAGAACTTTGGGAGGCCAAGGCTGGAGGACCATTTGAGGCCAGGAGTTCAAGACCAGCTTGAGCAACATAGTAAGACCCTACAAAAAAATTTAAAAATTAGCCAGGTGTAATGGCATGTGCCTGTAGTCCTAGCTACTCAGGAGGCTGAAGTGGGAGGATCACTCGAGCCCTGAAGGTCTGCTCTCAAGGGAAAGTACAGATGCACCTTCAGGAGAGAATTTATTAAATTAAACTAGTAAATAAGACTAACCATGGTAAATTGGTTCCCACAGCAATGCTCAGAACTTTCTGAGAAGAGTCCTAGGAAAATATTAGAAGCAACAGGGGTAGTAGCTGCCAGAACTTGAAAGGACAATGGCTGTTGCATAGCAAACTGAATGATTAACTCTGCATCCTGGGTTAATTTGTGTTTAACAGTTCCTGCATACCTCCTAAGGCCATGATGCATACTACGAGCTGATGCAATAACTCTTGTTCATACTGATGACCCAAGGTCAGAGTATTCTGTTCACTAAGGGAAAGAGACATGCAAATTAGTTTCAGGGTCAAGGTAAATTTCATTTAAATGAAACCTAAGGCAGAATATCAGTTTTCAAAATGTAGTCTGAGACCCTGGGGGAGATTATTTGCCTTTTTCACTATGTTAACATTTGCACTGAGGGGGAAAAAATATATATATATGTATATATATATACATATATACATGTGTATATATGTGTGTGTGTATATATACATATATATATATATATATATATATATATATGGTGAAACTCACAGTGCCAAAGCATGAATCAAGACAGCAGCACCTTAAAAATGCCCACCAGAAAGAAGGAAAAATTTTAATTTTATTCAATCTCCACACATCTTAATATTTAATGTGATTAAATGAGAAATACAAACAAAATATATCCGTGGCCATGGTGAAGTATGATGGCGGTTTGGAGGAAATGCATGTGTGCTATTGTTTGAGTTGTGAACTGAACTAGCCTCCATTTTCATTTAAGAAAACAAACATCAAACCATGTTTATTGAGAGTTGGGTATATGGCAAGATTTTTCTTGAAAAGGGATGAAGCAAACTGGTCACTTCAAATAAAACACCCGAGTGTATTTGTGACACTGAAAAAAACTGAGCTTTTGAACAAAAATTAGAATTTTGGAAAACATGTGTCCCTTACCATGATTTTGCAAGGTTCCCAATGCTAAAGAACTTTTCTGACAATTTTAAAAATAAGCTATTTTGATATTGTGTATTATACTGAAATGTGTCAACATTTGAAGAGTTAAATAACTGAAGAGTATTTTCCAAATAACCAATGTGTGATGTTATTTGAAATAATCCATGAGTAAAAGAGCCATTCAAAGTACAAGATAAAACAATAGATTTTAACATAATAAAGTATGAAAGTCATCAATACAGTTTCAGATTTCAATTGCAACAAGCTTTTTTATTGTACAAATCATCATGTAACAATTATCTTTTTAACTGAGGCTACATTTTTTTTCTTATTTTTCTTTTTTTTTTTTCTGTTCCACTGACCATAATTTCTTTATTAGGATTTTTATTTTGAGATAATTGTAGATTCACAGGCAGTTTTAAGAAATAATACAAAGATATCCCATCTTCCCTTTATCCAGTTTAGCCCAAAGACAACATCAGGCAAAACCATAGTACCATATCATAAACAACATGTTGACATGAAACAGTCAAGCTACAAAACATTTCCATCATCACAAGTGATCCATCTTGTCCTTTAAAGTCATACTCATCCTAACCCCCATCCTGAAAACCTGGAAACCACTATTCTATTCTTTATTTGTATAATTTTGTCATTTCGAGGAAGTTATATAATGAAATTACACAGTATGTAATCTTTTAGAATTGGATTTTTCAGCCCAATTCTCTTAAGATTCATTGTTATCGCATGTATGAATAGTTAATTCCTTTTTATTGGTGATTAGTATTCCATCTGTGGATGTACCACAGTTTTCTTAACCCACTGAAGGTTATCCAGAGTGTTTCCTGTTTGAGTTTTTTTTTTTTTTTTTTCACTGTGCAACCTGCTTCAGTGTTCATAGCTCATGGGTAAGGAGGCTGAGCAATGGTTCAAGGCTGCAGTTTACTCTGGCAATGGGTACACTGTGAGAAGCCCACAGAGAGTTTGGCTTCTATTAATAAAGCTGTGATGAATTTTGTGTACAAATTATAATGTAATTATAAATTTTCATTTCTGTAAGGTAAGCGCCCAGGCATGCAATTGCTGGGTTGTATGCATGCCTGGACAGACACTTTATCTTACAGAACTGCATGCATACTTTGGGTTTTTTTCTAATTACCAAACTGCTTTCTAGAGGGCTGTACCATTTTACCTTCCCAAAAACAATATATCAATGATCCTATTTCTCCTCCACTTCCTTATTGGCATTTGGTGTTATCACTATTATTTTATTTTAACCATTCTGTACTAATATCTTATGGTGGTTTTAATTTGCATTTCCCTAATAGCTAATGATGTTGCGCATCTTTTCATATGCTTCTTTGCCATCTATATATCCTATGTGGTGAAATGTTTATTAATGGTTTTGCCCACTTTCCAGTTAGATATTTTTATATTGAGTTTTGAAAATTCATTATGTATTCTGATATTAATTCTTTGCCGGATACGTGTTTTGCAAAATATTTTCTCCGAGTCGGTGGCTTGTATTTAATCCTCTTAACAGGGTCTTTTGTAGAGAAAAAAAAAATTAATTCTGATGAAGTCCAATTTATCTATTTTTCCTTTTACAAATAGTGCTTTTGGGGTCAAGTGTAAGAATGCTTTCCCTAGCCCTAAATCCCAAAGATCTCCTATGTTTTTTCTACAAGTTTAATAGTTTTATATTTTACATGTGTCTATGAATTATTATTTTAAGTACATTTTTTATAGGATGCAAGACTTAGGTCAGGGTTCTTTTTCTGGCTAAGGGATGTACAACTGATTGAGCAACAATTGTTTGAAAAGACTATCCTACACCATTGAATAATTTTTGCATTTTTATAAAAAATCAGTTGTGCATATCTGTAGGAGTCCATTTGTGGGTTTTCTACTCTGTCCCATTGATCTACAGGCCTGTCCATCCACCAAGACCACACCATCTTAATGACTGTAATATAGTAAGTCAGGAAGTCAGCTAAACTGATTTCTCCCATTTTATTCTTCTTATCCAAAATTATTTTAGCTCTACTTTCTTTGCATTTCCATACAAACTTTAGAATACTCTTGTTTACATGTACAAAAAAAAAAGCCTTGCTGGAATTTTGACAGGAATTGCTTAAATCTGTATATCAATTTGAAGAGAAATGACATGTTTACTATCCTGATTCTTCCAATCTATAAACAGGGAATCTCTCTATTTACTTAGATCACTTTTATTTCTTTTATCAGCATTTTGTAGTCCTCAGCATCTAACTCTTAAACATGTTTTGTTAGATTTACACTTGATTATTTCAGTTTTTAACAATTATAAATGATACAGTTTTAATATCAGTATATATTTCAGTACATGTTCATCTGTAGACACACAGAAATATAATGAATTATTCATGGTTTTTTTTGTATCTTGTCACTTTACTGAGCTCAGTTATTAGTTCTGTGAGATTTTTCTTGTACAGATTCCTCAGAACTTATTTATTTATTTATTGACATGGGGATCCCACTGTTGTCTAGGCTGGAGTGCATGATCACGGCTCACTGCAGCCTCAACCTCCCAGGCTCAGGTTATCTTCCCACCTCACCCTCCCAGAAAGCCCTAAGGCCATGGGACTACAGACACACACCACCATGCCCAGCTAATTTTTGTATTTTTTGTAGAGATGGGATTTTGTCATGTTGCCCCAGCTGGTCTCAAACTCTTGGGCTCAAGCAAGCTGCCCACCTTGGCCTCCCAAAGCGCTGGGCTTACAGGCATGAGCCACTGCACCCGGCTGATTCCTCAGAATTTTCTATGTAGACAGTCATGTCATCTGCACATACGGGCAGCTGTATTGCTTCTTTTCTGGTCTGCAAGCTTTTTTTTCCCACTTCTTGCCTTAATGCACTGCCTAGAATTTCCAGCACTATGTTGAATAAGAGTGGTGTGGGGAAACAATCAGGCTTTCACCATTAAATACTATGTTAGCTGTAGGTTTTTGCAGCTGCTCTTTATCAAGCTGTAGAAGTTTCCCTCTATTCCTACTTTTCTGAAAATTTTTATTATGAAAATGGGTGATGAAATCTGTCAAATGCTTTCTCTTCATTGATTAATATGATCATGCAATTTTTCTTCTTTATTCTGTTAAAATGATGAATTACAGTAGATTGACTTTCCAATACTGAGAAAGCCTCAAATCTCTGGAATAATTCCCTAAAGTCCTGGTGGATAATTCTTTTTACGTATTTTTAATTCTATGACCTAACATTTGTCAAGGATTTTTATAACCAATATTTATAAGGAGTTGTCTTAATCTGTTTTGCACTGCTATAACAGAACACCTGAGACTGGGTAATTTATAAAGAATAAAAATTTATTCTCTCACAGTTCTGGAGGCTGGAAAGAAGTCCAAGATCGAGGCACTAGCATCTGATGTAGGCCTTCTTACTGTGTCCTCACATGGTGGAAGGCAGAAAGGCCAAAACGGAAAAAGAGAGCTGAACTTGCCCATTTCTAATAGCATTCTTCCCACCCATAAGGGCCTAATCACCTCTTAAAGGTCCCACCTCTCAATACTGTTACAACGACAATTAAATTTCAACATGAGTTTTGGAGGAGACAAACATTTGAACCATAGCAAGGATACTGGTCTGCATTTTTCTTTCTTTCTTTCTTTCTTTCTTTTTTGTTTTTTTTACTGTCTTTGTCTAGTTTAGATACTAGGGTATTACTAGCTTCAAAAAATGAATTGAGAAGTCTTCCCTCCTCTTATTTTCTGAAAGAGATTGTATAGAATCGCTGTTAATTGTTCCTTAAATGTGTGGTAGAATTCTCTCTAGTAAAATCATCTGGGCTTACATATTTGGGAGAAGGGGAATGTTCTATAAATCAATAATTCAATTTCCTTAATATTTATAGGGCTATTCAAATAATCTATTTCATACTGGGTGAGTTGTGGTAGTTTGTGTTTTTCGAGAATTTCTTCACGTCATCTAAACAATCAAATGTATGCATGTGTAGAGTTGTTCATAGTATTCCTATATTAATATTTTTATATCTGCAGGGTCTGTAGTAACATCTCATTTCATTTATAATATTGGTAATTTATGGCTTTTCTTTTTTTCTTGTCTTGCCAGAGATTAATTTCAATGATCTTTTCAAATGACCAGCTCTTTCTTTCATTAAGTTTCCTTACTGTTTTTCTGTTTTCAATTTCATTGATTTCTGCTTTTATTCCTTCTGCTTGTTTTGGGTTCATTTTGCTCTTTTTTTGGGGGGTTCTTAGGTGGGAGCTTAAATAATTAATTTGAGACTTTCTCTTTTCTATTGAAAACATTTAGTGCTAGAAATTCTGCTTAGCTATGTCCCACAAATTTTGATATGTTGTATTTTCATTTTCATTCAGTTCAATGTATTTTTAAATCCCTTGAAACTTCTTCTTTAACCTATAGATTATTTATAGCTGTACTGTTTAGATTCCAAGTGTTTGGAGATTTTTGTTATCTTCCTCTTACTGATTTCTAGTTTTAGTCCATTATGGATTTGCTCTATCCTGGTATATGTTTCATGGCATCTGAAAACAATATGCATTCTGCTTTTGTTGGGTACAGTGTTCTATAAATTTCAACTGGAACCTACTGGTTGATGAGGTTGTTGCTGATTTTCTAAGTGTTCTATGAATTTTTGAGAGAGAAATGCTGAACTCTCCAACTATAATTGTGGAATTGTCTATTTCTCCTCTCAGTTCTTAGATTTTGCTTTGCATGTTTTGCAGTTCTATTGTCTGATGCATATATTTTTTAAGACTGGCATGTCTTCTTGATGTGCTGACACTTTTATTATAATATAATGCCCCTTTGTGTCTCTGAGAACTTTCTTTGCTTGGAAGTCTATCTTATCTGATATTAATATAGCCATTCCCACTTTTCTTTGAATGGTGTTTGTGTATTTTTAACCCTTTTATTTTCAAACTGGCTATATCATTATGTTTTAAATTTGTTTCTTGTAAATATTATATATCTGGGTCATGTGTTTTAATCCATTTTACCACTCCGTCATTTAATTGCTAAATTCAAACCATTTACATTTAAGTTAGGGTTTAAGTCTGTCATTTTAGATTTTGTTTCCTGTCTGCTCTGTCTGGTTTCTTTTGTTTCTGTTTTCTTTTTCCTGTCTTCCTGTACATTACTTGAACATATTTTAGAATTCTACTTTTATTTATTTATAGTGTTTTTAGTATATCTCTTTGTATAGCTTTTTAATTGTTACTCTAGGTATTACATTTTATAAATATAGCTTACCACAATTGACTGAGGGTATTATTTTACTAGTTCAAGTGATACGTAGAAATCTCACCTCCCTTTATGTCTCTTTACCCTTTCCCATTTATAGTATGTCTTAAATACTTCCTCTATATTCTGTTACAACCACATCAGCATGATAAATTTTGTTTCAATGGACAAACATAACTTAGAAAACTCAAAAGGAGAAGGAAATTTTATTGTACTTACCCATATTTTTGCTTTACATGTGCTTTGTTCCTTCTACATATTCCTGGATTTTTTCTCTTATCATTTCTCTCTATTTAGAGAACTTTTCCTAGCCATTCTTTTAGGTTAGGTATGCTGGCAACAAATTCTCTTCGTTTCCTTCTATCTGAGAATGTCTTGATTCCTTTATTCCTAAAGGATATTTTTCTGGATGTAGGATTCTGGAAACACAGTTGTTTTCTTCCAGCACTTGAAAAATGTTCTGTCACTTACTTCTGGCCTCCATCACTTCTCATGAGAAACCCATTTCCATTCAACTTGTTTTTCCCCTACAGGTAGCATGTCGTTTCTTTTTTGTTGCTTTCTTTATCTTAATATAATGCCCCTCTGTGTCTCTGAGAACTTTCTTTGCTTGGAAGTCTATCTTATCTGATATTAATATAGCCATTCCCACTTTTCTTAGATTGATGTTTGGTTTTTCTTTATCTTTCATTTTCAGAAGCTTGAATATTATGTGGTTTGGTCTATATTCCTTTGGATTTTTCCAGTTTGGGATTTGCTCAGGCTCCTGAATCTATAGCTTTCTGCCTTTTGCCAAACTGGTAACTTTTCAGACATTATTTATTTCAATACTTTTCAGTCTCTCCCCATCTTTTGTGATAACACAAATACTAGATCTTTTGTTATAGTCCCTCAATTCCCCAAGGCTGTATTGGCCTCCTAGCATGTTAATAGATATAACTCACATAAAAAATTATTGAGGTCTTCAATAATTTTTTTTTTGAGACAGGGACTCTCTCTGTTGCCCAGGCTGGAGTGCAGTGGCACAATCACGGCTCACTGGAGGCCTCAATTGCCTGGGCTCAAGTGATTCCCTCATCTTAGCCTCCCAAGTAGCTGGGACCACAGACGTGTGCCACCAGGCTGGGTTATTATTTTTAGATACGAGGTCTCGTTATGTTGGCCAGACTGGTCTCAAATTCCTGGGCTCAAGCAATCCTCTCGCCATGTCCTCCCAAAGTTCTGGGATTACAGGCGTGAGCTACCACACCTGGCCAGCCCTCAATAATTTTTAAGAGTGAAAAAAGTCTCCTGAAGCCAAAAAGTTTGAGGACCTGTGAGGTACAAAAAAACTAATATTAAAGAAAGTTCTTACTTCCTCTCCCAAGACTTCCAAGTGTGGTTTGTGAGCACGCTCTCTAGTTCCTTGTGCCAATTCAGGTGGTATCCCTTGCGGTGTCGGAGGAATATGGACATATTCTTGGTTGTCATCCATAACAGGAATTCCATACAATATTCTACAATGTGATAAGAACAATAAGTTTGCTTTTTAAGTAATTGACAAAGTATAAGGTGTTTGCCCTCATTTCATAACTCCACTGAAATAAACACATGGACATTTGACATCTGCACTAAACAGAGATTGTGTAGAAGTCAGATAATCCAAAATGAGAAATAATCCAAAAATGCTAATATCTGGTTCTTAATACATTTTAGTAGTAATATTTATGATGGTTTTGTTTCATTATACTGGAATAATAAATTCACCCTATGAAAGTCTAGTTGCAAAAGAGGTTAAAAAAAAAAAAACTTCTTTACCTTCTGATCTCTCACCTACTCCCCATTCCAAGCTCACACATACACACAAAGTTTCATTTCTTGGGTGGGGCAAAGCATCAGCCTAAGCAGAAGTACCTTCTCACATTATGGTTCTCCCTTCTTGCTGAGATGAACAGAAAACTGTGTAGGCATCAAGTCTTTCTTCTAGGCTACAAGCTACATATACATGAGAATATATATGGAACAAAACTTATCAATAAAAGATTAAGCTAAACAGATGAGATAAATCAAAATTTGAAAGTAAATGTGTCATTAATTACTGACCTACAGACTGGCTTAAAAATACATTAACTTTTGTATTATAACACTTAACTGTAAAATAAATATAAAATGAACATAAAGACAAAATATCTAAGAATATATACACAGTCATGTGCCACATACATAATATAGATATATCAATTTCACATTGAAGCATTTAAAGCTACTGTTCCCTCTAACTTATTGATATACTATTATAGGAAGAAACACATTACGAGTTACCAAATGTGAAAACTAAGCATACAAAAACCCAACTGATTTCAGTTGTTTAATAATATACTGAAATCCTCAAATCCCATGATACCTGCTGTTAAGAAGTAGACCCACTCAGAGGCAGGCTGAAGAAGATATGGCTTTGTCAGAGTAGAGTCATGAATAAAAGCTTCCTATCTTACCTACTAAAATACCTGAATTCAAAGAGAGGTTAAAACTCTACTCCCAGCAAGGTGAATACCACTGCCACTTAACACCCATTCCATCCTCCTTCTAATGTGCTTTCCTGAACTGCCAAGGATGGAGAGGTAAAACTCTCTTGGCCAGGCATGGTGGTTCATGCCTGTAATCCCAGCACTTTGGGAGGCTGAGGCAGGCAGATCACTTGAGGCCAGGAGTTCAAGACCAGCCTAGCCAACATAGCAAAACCTCGTCTCTACTAAAATACAAAAGTTAGCTGGGTGTAGTGGCACACACCTGTAGTCCCAGCTACTCAGGAGGCTGAGGCACAGTTGTTTTAACTCGGGGTGGAGGTTCCAGAAGCCAATGTTCTAGATATTATTTGGAATCCACCAACCAAATGCAATTAGAAGGCAGAAGGTTCTAATGTTTCTGTTGGCAAGTACAGTCATGACAATGTTGAGTTCTTCTGTAGCAGTGTTCCAGTTATGACTTTGTGAGTTGTGTTTTTTACTGGTTTGTTTTTTGCCAGTGAGCATGTCAAACAGACACAGTGTGGCTCCAGAGTCCAAAGCTGTGACAGTAAAAGCTACTTAATCCCTGAATCTCAGTTAAGGTGGTATGTTGCCAGTGCTGGCTTCCAGATTTGCCGCCTTCCTGTGTCAGGAACAGCAGCACCCTAGGCAGCCAGTTAAACATGCTCTGTGAATCATCCCTGGGAGATCTCCCTACCTAATGCCCCATTTTTCTAACCCTCTCATTGATTTTAAAACACCAAATTCCCATTACTAAGTCCCTTTTTGCTTAAAATAGCTAAAGCTGTGATACAGTTTGGCTGTGTCCCCACCCAAATCTCATCTTGAATTGTAGTTCCCATAATGCCCATGTGTTGTGGGAGGGACCCGGTGGGAGGTAATTGAATTACGGGAGTGGTTACCCCATAGTGCTGTTCTCGTGATGTGAGTGATTTATCACAAGAGCTGATGGTTTCATAAGGGGCTTTTCCCCCTTTTGTCCATCATTTCTCCTTGCTGCCACCATGTGAAGAAGGACATGTTTGCTTCTCCTTCCACCATGATTGTAAGTTTCCTGAGGCCTCATCAGCCCTGCAGAACTGTGAGTCAATTAAGCCTCCTTCTTTTATAAATTACCCAGTCTTGGGTCTGTCTTGATTAGCAGCATATGAACAGACAAATACAAGATGTTTCTGTTTTCCGAAGCTGAATTCCAGTGTATCCAGGAAAACAAAAGAACAGGGGAAGGTCTAGGGACTAAGAAAATGAGCCAAGTGAATACAGACATCAGGATCAATAAGTATTTCTAAGATAGGTTGGGAGGAGAGGGAGATGGTGATGAGGAGAGCAGTGACTAAGAAGTTATCTAGAAGCACTGCTCTACTTTTCTCTGGCTCTATGCCAGAAACAGGATAGTAAAAGTCATTTACAACTTATTGTCTTTTGCTCTTTCACATTCCAAAAACACGCTAAATAAACAGAAATATGGATTGGTTGGAAGAAAGTGAAGGTCATCGGACATTCTAAAGTGCATAGCTCTGGTAGACATGAATGGGGGCCTTGGTGGAAAGGCATACCTAAGGTTAGCCTTTATGCTCCTGTATGACAAAGATGAAGCACTTACCTGGAAATTTTTATCCGGATTTTCCCTGCTTCCTTCTTTTTGTCCAGAGAAAAGAACGAACCCTTTCTAGAGTTCTCTTTGAAAAACACCACTATCTCAGTGGTTCAGACTGAAAATCTCTTCATCACCAATCTCTTCCTCACTCCCAACAGTAATGACTATTTCTGTTCATTCTCCCTCCATGATGTCTCTCCTGTTCACTGTATCTTCTCTCAACTGAGTCCTGTGATATCATCTTTGCTGGTCCCTTACCTCCAGACCCTCCCTCCTTCAATCCAAGCCACATATCCCTGCAACTGTTGTTATCAGTCACCCCCTCTGCAAACATCTCACTGACTACACACACAGTATATACAACCCAAGCTCCTGACCCTGGCAGTAAGGGTCTTTCACAGTCTGGGCACCATCTGCTTTGCCAACTCTGCTTCCTTCCCCCAACCTTCCACCCAAGCTACATTTGCAATGCAAAAAAAATGCCTTATGTGCTGGGATTACTCCAGGAGCAATAGGGGAAACAGGCAAAATCAACAGGCCATTATAGTAATGAGTGGCTATGGAAATGGAGAATGATGAGAGCAAGACCTTCAGATCTCAATTCCTCCACGAGACCTTTACAAATCCTCCTCTACCCAGCCCAGATTCATGTCTGACTCCCTGGTTTCCCTGTTGCATTTGATCTGCTCTTTCATTACACAATATACTGCATTCTATTCCGTATGCCTTTTTCACAGTAGAGCATAGGCTTGTTTGGGAGAAAAAGTGAGACTTACTCATTTTCTGTCTCCCAAAAATTTGAATGGAGTAGGTACTAAATAAATATTGTTGAATTTTGGCTGAGTAAGAAAAGTCTCACAGCCAAAGCCAGCCCCAGACTCTGCCCTGGGAAGCAGAATCATTGGTAAGGCAGGAGATGCTGGGTAGTTCTCAAAGTGTATTCCCTATCGAGCATCATTAGTATCATATAACAACTTGTTAGGAATGTAAGTTATTGAGCCCCAACACAGACCTAATGAGTCAGAAACTCAGGAGCTGAGGCCTAGCTATCTGTGTTATAGCCAGCCCTGAAGGTGATTCTGTGCACTCTGAAGATGGAAAACCACTAAGGTACTCAATCTTTCCTAAAACAGCCTAATCATAAGAATATCCTGGGATGAAATCAAATCTACACCTTCCCAGACCCCTTCTCTGAAGATTCTAATTCAGTAGGTTTGCGATAGATCCTGGGAATTGATACACTTATGAAACAACCCAGATGACTCTTATCCTCAAGGAAGACTAAAAATCACTGATATAGTGGAAAGAGTGAGCCTTTGGAATGAGGTTAAAAAACAGAATTTGGGCCCCTCACTGTGCTATGTTTCCTCTTCAGTCTGTTTCCTCATTTACAAATGGCAACAGTGATTGAGTTTTTCAGAGTCAAATGTCTTAGAAATCATGTATGTGAAGAGGCTTGTACACAGAATATGCTAAGAAAGTGATTGATATTACAACCATTATTGTTTATGATCATTGAGGGAGTTGAATGAAGGAAACAAGCCCACCTCTCTCAGAGTGAAAGTTGAACCTCCTTTTGGGTCAATATTGGTCTCCCATGAGGCCAGAGAGAGAAATATATTTGTGATTGTATGATGCTGTTAAAGAAGTTTGGAAAACATTTGTTCTAAGCTGTGAGTACTCTGAAAAAATCTCTGCACACATCTTCTATGAGTTACATAAAGGTGACTGTGAGCTACATCTTGTGAAGCATGGAGAAGGGATCTCCCTCCAACAATCTTCCCCTACCTTGGTATGACCCCAACAGAGAGGTTCTCCATCACAGCTTCACTATCTCTTCCTTAACAAATTTATCTTGCTCTTTGGTATACAAAAGCCTGAGAGAGGCTTCACAGGATGTTGCTCACAGTCACTCTTAGGTAACCCATAGAAGATGTATACAGGGAAATTTGAAGAGTGCTCACATACAAAAGTTTCATCAAAGTCAATCTCACATGCAATGGTTCTATTCTAGATACCATTTTTTAAAGTGCTCATAGCAAATCGCTAAACTGATTTCACAACCCACTCACTGGGTCGCAATCCACAATTTGAAAAACATTAACTTACAGAGAATGTTGTTTAAAAAGCAGATGCCAAGGTCTGGAAAAAGCTTTAGGTTTTCATCTTCTTGAAAATATTAATCTACAAATAGCTTTCTTTAGTCCTTTATAATTTTTTTCTTTGAAATCTGCAGCAGAGGCATATGAATATTATGTATGTTTTAAAAAGATCAGAAAATACAGTCTTGATAAAATCAGTCTATAGAAGAGTAAGTGTATAACTATATAATTTTTTTTTTTTTTTTTTTTTTTACAAAACATGATTGGGAAGGGGAAAATTGTATTTGTAATCATCGTAACTTCATTGCTACATGCAAACAGTGACATCTGGTGGAATGATACTGCTTTACTTTTTTAAAAATCCAGCTTTCACATATTGGCAGTTATGGTAACAGACAAATTTTCAAATAATTCCTTTTTGGGTATTTCCAAGTAAAAACAGAAATACACAAGGGTAAACTCTTAACAGACATTGATAGTGCATACTGAAATGATTTTTTGTCATACCAAACTGTCATACTGATGGGGCTATTTGTTCAAAGTGGATATAACAGAAATTTAAAATGAGGTTACTATTAATTCCAGTTCTATCTCTGCCACCCACTGTGATACAGAGTGCAAAGCTTTGCCTCAGTCTCCTCATACATAATATGAGAGGCTTAGGCTAGGGAACTACTAAGATCTCTTACAACTCTGTTCAATGTACTTCTGTGACATGTATCACCAACTCACACAGTGATTCTTACGTTCTTAGGTCACTGCTTGGATTATGCAGCAAGAACAAGGCCATGTAAGGGGTAGGGGTGGGGCCAGGATTAGACCTGATCATTGAGAAATGGCAGATGGTAGGGGAAGGTCAGTCGCAGATACCTACACTGGTAGGAAATAAAAAGCATATGAGACAGAACAGAGTATTACAAATGAAGTGTAACAGACCACAGGTCCTGGGTGTACTGTAATTAGAAAGGTCTAGCATGAGATGATGGCACATTTGGGTGGGGGGCAACCAGTGATAGGAAGTATAAAACCAGGCAATATTCAGAGACTGCAAAGCTTTCAGTAATTAACAACAGAGAAGTCTCCCACAATGACCAAGGCCACATCCTTGGCCTAGAATCAAAACAGGATTTTCAGTTCCTAGGAGGGAACAAGCAATAGTAAGATAAAAATCCTCATCCTGAATAAGCAGAAGCCCTGCTTCCAAAATTGGTTCACAATTGGTCAAATACAAACCACCAAGGGCAAGTAAAATATGCTTCACACAGATTATCCAACTAAGCCTCTTCACATTCTTCCTAGATTAGGTCAAATTGGTCCTAAAAACAGAATGAGAGCGAGTATACAGAATTAAGCATAAAGAGAAAAAATAAAATGGCCTTTCACAAATACACAAAGCAGTAGAATATAATAAAAGCCACATTTAAAATTATAAAGACCTGGGCTTGAATCCCAGCCGTTACTAGCTACATAAACATGGATTAGTCAATCATTACGCTGTATTTTTTATTTGGGAAATAAAATGATTTTATCTACTACATAGAGTTGTTATTAATACAAAATTATATAATAAATGTAGTGTACTTCAATGCATTTTTCTGTTAGATAATTTTCCATTTTCTTAACAATATTACTACCTTATTTGAAGGATTTGGATAAAATCTTTCAAATAAAAGCACTCCTTATACATTTGATTTGTAAGCTATCATTAGTAGAGACAGTAAGTCAAAATAATTACTCATATATGTGTCTCTACATTTGTATTTATATATATAGATATATATCCTCAAAGAAATATGTTATCAAAATAACATCTATAATGTCATTTTCATAAAATGTATGTATACATAATATATGTGTATGCACAGAAGAAAAGCTTATAGTAATCTACCATATAGAAAACCCGATAGGAAAAGGTCACCCTTATTACAATATTTTTAACGATCACAGAGAGAAACTATAGAGGCAAATTTTTCAGATCTTGTCCCATCCCACCCCCAATGCCTTTCAGGATTCTGAGTGACTCAACTGCTAACATAAACCTGCATCTCTGGTTCTCCTACTTAAGATCTAAAAGTACTATTCTAATACCTCCAAGATAAACAGTCAAAAATGTTTGGTAAATCTATCCAATATTAACTTTGGGTAGCCAGAAATAACTTGTCTTCATTCAAAGTTGAGTACACAGAAAAACCCAAAATGATTTCTGTGAAGACAGTCTCCAAACTACAAAAATGAAATATAGCATTCAAAAAGTGACAGGAAGAACATCCTTTTGAGAAAGATTTATTATAGGAAACAAAAATATTTTAGAAAGATTCTGCTTTGTGTTCTTGAGGTAATAAAATTCAGATAAACAAAAGCGATTGTCTTAAGAGACTGATAGAATTTAGAAAAAAATCTGTAAATGCCATAGCAGTCTCACAATGAAAATTAGAAGGACTTTTTAAAATTTATACCACAGAAAATGAAACCACTGAAGTACAGAGGTTTAAGAGATAAATCTAAGCAAAACAATGATAAATATAGAGGAAAGATAGTGAAAATCCAACATACAGCTAATTGATATTCCTGAAGAAATGCACAAAATAAGTAGAATAGAAACATTACTCAACATAAAACAAAAAAGTCTTATACTGAAATATAGTGTACTATATTTGCATATAAGAAGAGCTTTCCATGTACCCCCAAAAATTAATTAGAAAGCAATCCACTCTCAAACATACGCTAGGGAAATTGTTCATTTTAAAGCAAAACATAAAATTCTGTAAGCATCAAGATGAGTAGGAGAAAAATATTACATGCAAATAAATGAAAAACAGGTTGGTTTCAGATTTCTGTATCACAAGATTAGATATCAGATAATGATACAAACAAAAAACACATAGGCAAATGCTGACAGACAAAACAGATTATAGGAAATAGCAAAGAAGCAAAAAAGGAAAAAGAGAATATAAAATGACAAAAATAATACCAAGTACATCTGATAGGACAATAAATGAATATGGGGTGACCCAACCTATTAGAAAAAAACCTATCAGAAAAAAAATTCTGATAAGCTCAAAAAATATTTAAGTCTATGCAATCTACAAGGGACACAACTAAGACAGACTAAAATGAAAATGGAAATATATGCCATATAAATAAAGCAAAAAATAAAACAAAGTGGTTTTCACTTTTATGGGTTAAGTGTACAATGAAAACAAAAGGATCACAATTAACAGTTTCTTGAATTTTCTCCCACACACGCAGAAAAAATTGTTTTATATAATACACATGTTGTTTCTGAATTTAGTTCTAACCCTTTCAGAATACAAAATTCTACCTCATTCTTTATTATGGTTGCAATGCATCTCATTATTGAATGCATAATTAAAATTCTTCCATGATAGACACTTAGGTTGTTTCCAGTTTTTAGTTATTATAAAAAGTGATATGATGAACATCCTTGTGCATTTCTCTTACCAATTGATAGTCATCAGCATATAAATGGCATTTAAAGCCATGGTCCTGGATAAGATCACCTTGGTAAGCCTGGGCACTCCAATGTTGAGAAGTCAAGAGATGAGGAGACACCAGGAGGAGGGACTGAGAAGCCATCCCCAGGGAAGCAGGAAGATAGCCAAGAAAGGAGTGGTCCCTAAGGCCAGGGATAAAGGTGACTTCTGGAAAAGTAAGTGATCAACTGTGTCAAACACAACTGAGAAGACAAGGACTGTGATATCTTAAAGCAAACCTGATCATGTCATTCTTCCTCAGAAAACCTATCAATGCTTTCCCAATTCACTGTGACTAAGAATCCCTCCCCCAAGCACTCACACGTGCCCTCACACATACATACGGGGTAACCATAAAATCCTGCCTCAGCTCTAGCTTCAAATGTATCACTGCTCTTCCTGTTCTCTAATACTGGACTTACTTCCAGTTATCAGATGGATTCCAATTGCCCACAGCATGAACTCAAACTTCAAACTGTATACAAATTTCCTGCATTTCTAACAAGTTCCCAGGTGATGGTGATGCCGCTAGTCTGCGGACTATACTTTGAGTACCAAAGATCTAAAACATTCTTTCCCCTCCTCCTTCCTATCTTCTATCCATCTTTCAGGTTTCAATTTAGGTATCAATCCTCAAACCTCCCCAAATAATCAGGGACTCCTCTTACATGTTTCCACATAGCACTCTGCACAACTCTATATTAATTGTCGCATTCACAGTAATTAATTCACCCTTCTTTTCACTGGTCTCCAGGTTCCCTGAGGGCAGTGATTATGTCTCTCCTGTTTGCAGATGCCTCTCTAGTGCCTACCTCTATGCCTACCACAGAGTTAAGCATATCATTTGATTACTCGGATCAATATTTATTGACATGGAAAGATGTTTACACATAAGTTTTTAAAAGTTAGGTTACAAAACATTATACATATAGTATTATTCTAGTTTTGTTCTATATGATTTATTTGCAAAAGGAAAAGTCTGGAATCCCATATTTAAGAATGTTAACAGTGTTATCTATAAATGGCAAGATTTTGAGTAATTGTTTTTCATTTTCGCATTTTCTTGCATGTTTTTGCATATTTGTTAAAATATTTTTATTGTTTTTTGTAAAAAAATAATCAAAAATGAAATTAAACATTGAATTTTGACACTTAACCTTTGGTTTTTCCATTGTTGCTGCTGTTCTAATGTATAAAGCTAATGATCTGTCCACATATTTTCCAAAAATTGACTAGGAATTTCCTTTTTAATTTGAAGCCAACTAGAGGGTTAAGTCTGGGATTCATAGCCTGGCATTGCTCACTGCGCAGGAGCTGTCTATAAGGGGTGCCTGATTTGAGAAGGTCAGCCAATGTTTGTAGGACAGCATTTTTGCCACCAACTCTGTATTGATTGTGAATCAAGGAAATACACAAGCAGTTTTAGATAGACAAATCAGTGAAATGGAACAGAAATCCATAAATAGACTCAATAACATGTTGGAATTTAAGGTATTTGAAAGTTAGCATTTCAAATCAGTAAGGAAAAGAAGATTCATTGAATAAATTATATTTTAAAATATGTTCTTCTTATCAAAATAAATTACAAATGGATTAAATATTTAATTTTTTCCAAAGGAAACCACAAAGTTACTAGAAGAAAATATGAGAGAATACATTAAAATGTAAACGTATAAACACCCTTTCTAAGATTAGCATCAAGACTAGAACACACAAAAAAAATTGCTACATTAAAAAATTTCTGATAGCATAAAACACCATAAACAAAACTGAAAAGCAGACAACAAATTGAAAATATATCTATAATATATACGGCAAATAACTAAAATTTTAATATAAAAAGATCATTTACAAAACAATACAAAAGAGATAAATGACAACTCCAGATCTGGTAATTCTCAAAAGGAAAAAAGCACATAACCAAGAGACATCTAAAAATATGTGCAACCTTACAAGAAATGGATAAAAATAATAAAAGATTAGAAAAAATTCAAAAAGAGTAACAATCATAGTTTGACAAGGGTGTAAGGAAAAGAACAGTGTCATAAATTGGCATAAATAGTGTCACCATAGCTTGGTTATAATAGTAACTATCTGGCCAGGCACAGTGGATCACATCTGTAATCCTATTATTTTAGGAGGCTGGTGCAGGAGGATCACTTAAGGCTAGGAGTTCGAGACCAGCCTGGTCAACATAGTGAGACTCTATGTCTACAAAAAAATATAATAATTAGCCTAGTGCTACTCAGGAGGCTGAAGTGGGAGGAGCCCAGGAGTTCAAGGTTACAGTAAGCTATTATTATGCCATTGCGCACCAGCCTAGGAAACAGAGCAAGACCCTGTCTCTATTAAAAAATTTTTGTATAAAGTAGTAAATATCATGAAATAATTTAAATGTTCACAAACAATCTTGAATGAAGAAACTCAGGCTATAGAATGTCATGGGTGGTTTAAACACATACATATACAAGAGATGTCCGAAAGGCTATTCACCAAGTTGTTAACATTAATCTAAGTCTTTAAATACCTTTAATCATTTTGCCTACTTTAAAGCCTGAAATATAAAATTTCATACCAAAAATTTGAACTAAATGTCTACAAACTTCTCTCTATAATATACAAATCATTTTTAAAGCAAAAATAAGGCCAATACAAGATATTTGTATAGTTCTCATCATAATTACTGTTTAGCAAAATAAGCGTAAGTTTGAACACTACACCGCTGTTCAAATAAACTTAAGTATATACCCTTCCAATTCCATTAAAATATTCTTGGTGTTTGCCATAAATAATGATTAACAAAATTGGGAAACATTAAAACTACACAACCACAACTATTACTACCTTTGAAGTTAACTGATCATTGCACAAAAAAATGCAAAAAGCCATCAAATGAAAAGGTATTCATTTTGTTTACAGTTACCTTTCTTGAGAACGCTTGGTAGTGCAGAAAAAAATTATACATTTCTCCGAACTTGTAGGCTCAGCAGACAGATATATTTTGAAAAGGTTAAGCTATGTTTAGCAAGGTAATCCTCAAGAGATAGATGCTGGAGAATTAAATATTCAGTACTTAAATTAACTTCTTATTTGGTACTTAGGAACAAATTGCCAAGAATTATCCTCATCAAATAGAACATTTATTGACTCTTGGAAAAAGAAAGTGAGGTCTACTTGAAGAAAAATATTTTCAGAATTCAAAAGAAACTAGCATTTCTAACACTTTGCGTGAATAATTATAGCTGTAAGTCCTCCAAATGATGCTTGGCTTGTGTAGTGCTAATGGGAATGACTCAAAATAGCAGAGTTTCATGCCTACTAGATTATGTTTATGTATTTATTTTCTACTCCTAGCTTTAGGCTTTAACATATATTCCAAAGAATGTCATGCTGAACTGCTATTTTCTATTGGAGACACTGGAGCAGTTCTGAAATTTCAAAAATTCTTCATATACAATTTTTTTCAAAAATTTAATTTGATAAAGCAAAACTAAAAGACTTCAGATGTATAAAATTATGACTGACAAATCCTAAAAATTTTTTTTTGCCTACATAGAAAACAAACATAAAAATGACCTTCTTTTAGGGATTCAAATAGAAACCAATTGTGATTGCTAATCACTGGGAAACCAGGTAATTTTTAATTCATGAAAGGATGCACTAGCATTGCAATTTTTACTAGAAGTCAAGTTTGAGAAAATGCATTCAAAATATACCATGAAAAGTATGGGTACTAATAATCTTGTGATAGTGTCATTAAAAGTGATCTTTTAGAATAGTATTCTCATATACCTAGGATAGTTAAATTATAATACTAAAAAAGTTTCCATTTAACTTAATATTTAACATTTGTAATTGTCTTAAAACATGCAGTACATTTTTCAGTATTTTTACCATGGCTTCTGAAAGGCGAGAGACTGTAGAGCAAGCATTCTCAATGGGCAGGTGATATCCCTCCCAGGAGGTAAAAATTGGTGCTTTGGGTCGGGGGAGCACAGTGTGATTAAAGTTTGCTCTTTTTATTTATAAAGCACATACATTCATATAGTATATAAACAGATATACAGTATATCTGGCATATTAAAATTTAATCAGGAGGGGCGATTAGAAGAAAAAAAGCCTTAAAATTCTCTTTAAGTGGGTGATAATGAAAAGGCTGAGAAAAACTGAGTTAGACAAACCTGGATTCTATCACTATCAAGAGATAAGAACTTCAGCAAGTAACCTGGTATCACGAACCCTAAATTTCTTCATGAATAAAATGGAAATTACAACTTCTCCCTTACAGTTGAAGATTTAAATAGGAAACATATGCAAAGCACACAGCACAGTTGCTCGGAATATAGTTACTGCTGCATAAACATTAGGTTCCTTCCCTTTTCTCCTTTCTTTTGAGGATGCTATAAATTATATACTCTCCACAAAAGAATATGCAGATTCCAAAGGAAGGTGAGACCCAAGGAGAAGGAGAACAAACTCCAAGAGCAATGACTTTTGTATGTGATCCCTGGACCCAAGTATACCCAATGATGGTGAAATCTAGTTCAAAAGACTGGGTCCAAGTGTCAAATCTGTGATTTTTTAAATTGTCTATGTGTAGCTAATTGCTTAAATTTTATTACTCTCAATTTCCACATCTGTACTCCAGAGCTGTGATGACAAACAAATGAGATCATGTATGTAACACTCTGGGAATACTAAAGTTACCTTACAATTGGGAATGGGTTCATGTTAATATTGTCAGGAAATGGAGACACAGACCTAGACTGTATACCTGAGGAAGCAGCAGAAAAAAACAAAAACTGCTCCCTCCTCTTTAGTGTCCAAGAACAGAATCAAGTCTTTAAAATCTAGAACTCAAAAGGCAGGATTTATATGACAGTTTACATTTAGCTTAAAATCAAATTACCAGTGGAACTCTTACCTATCTGTTTGTTCTTCATCTGTAAAGCGATCATCTAAGAAAGAGGTTCCAAATTTTCCAAGCAGGGTATCGTGGCCTTTCCTGTTAGCAGTGTGATACACTCGAGAAGCCAGGCGCAAGTCAACAGGCAGCTCCTGGGCTGGGATGGTGGTGCACAGATCATGAAGGTGCGGCATGGAGTAGTCTTGTGGAATTCTGCAACAGAGAAAAGAAAGTGAGCTCCTTTCATCATTTTGTGGACTTTAGATATAAAGTACATTTATACTGACAATTTAGTTCAGGTTCTAAAGACATACATAAATGGAGGAGATCTGATTTAAAACTATAATAATGGTATATAACAAATTTAATATCACAATCTCAGGCCATTGTCCAGAGCTTTAAACTTGTATCCAACTGCCTGCTGAATAGCTCAACCTACACCTCTACAGACAACAGTCTACAGGCATCTCAGGATCAACAAGTCTAAAAACAAACTCTTTATCATCCCACCCCAACCTCTTCTCTCCTGAATTCTGAAACTCAGTCTGTGGACACCATATCCAGCCATCATGTATTACTCCTTTGCTACTCTGGTCAAATGCTAATGTCCCTAAAGAAGTGGAACAATATAGGTAGGGCATTATCCATTAACTAGCATTGATAGAACTCTGGGTTTCTCTGAGTCAGTGTGGCATCTCCTTTCCCACTCTGCTTGGACTTGTATCTCTCTTCTGTCTTTCCTAAGTAGAGAGGATGACATGAAAATCTGCTTTTTTTTTTTTTTTTTTTTTTTTGTGAGATGGAGTCTCACTCTGTCACCCAGTCTCAGGCTGGGATGCAGTAGCACAATCTTGGCTCACTGCAACCGCCGCCTCCCAGGTTCAAGTGATTCTCCTGCCTCAGCCTCCTGAGTAGCTGGGACTACAGGCCCGTACCACCACGCCCAGCTAATGTTTGTGGTTTTAGTAGAGATGGGGTTTCCCAATGTTGGCAAGGCTGGTCTCAGACTCCTGACCTCAAGTAATCTGCCTGCCTTGGCCTCCCAAAGTGCTGGGATTACAGGCGTGAGCCACTGCGCCTAGCCAAAAATCTCCTTTCTTAATCCCCAGTGCCACCTGTAATCCAATCAACAAATAATTATTGAGCACCTACTATATGCCAGATTCTGTGCTAGGTCCTCTACACACATTTTCTCTAATTCCCACAACGAAGCTGTATTGGAGGTATAATTATCCTTATTTTGGGTAGGTCACAAAATTAGTGGGTAAGCCCTGGCATCCAAACACAACATTACTGGCTATTGGCCACATTTCTTGCCTATTAGTGACTTCTGGGTGGAAGTGGCCCTTCTCCAGAAGTACTCCATCCCTACCTTCCTACTAAAGCTTATACAACCAAATGACCTTCTTTTCATCAAATCAAATCCAATCCAATCAGCTTTAGATCTTTAGGTCATGTTCTCTTCTGACCCCCAAAACACAGCTGAGAATATGAATAACTTGTTGAAATTGCTCTTCCTTCATGGGCCTTTAAAGCTGCAATATCCCAGATTTCCATCTACCTCTCAAATTCATCATAATATGACTTAGCCATTGGTTTTCCTTCTCCAGTTTCCAAACTGGGTGTGGCTTCTGAGGTTTGAACTTCTCTTTGTACATTGGAAAAATCATCTTTAGTGTTTCAGCTATTACCTCTGTGCTGAGAGCTCCCAAATCTTACCTCTAATATCACTACCTCAACTAGATTCCTCCTTTTGAAGATAGAAAACATCTTTGACCCCTCTCTCTTTCACCTGCACATCCAATGCAAAACTGAGTTTCTCCCCCGCACAGGGTTGCTCAGGTGTGTTCCTTCTCCATCCTCACTGCCAGCATACCCTTCATCACCTCAGCCTGCGCAGGCAGTCGTTCACCAGTTGGGTTGAGCACGGCAGCCTCTGTCTATTCCCCTCTGCAAAATTCTACCAGATTGATCTCCTTTAAGTGCTCCCTTACCCAGCAAATTGATTGGTTGTTGCTTACTGCATTTGGCTAACTTCCTTTCTCTATGTTTCAAGGCTCCTAGACTTTGGACTTACTTCTAGCATAGTGATTAAGAGTACAGACTCTGGAGTCAGACTGCCTGGGTTCAAACACTGTTTACAATTCTCACTTGGTCATAAGCAAGTCAATTAATTTCTTTATACTTTGTCCTGGATACAGTTGCTTTAAGAAAGAAGAGTGAATGCATTTAGAACAGTGTCTCTCACATGGCAGAAGTTAGCTATTCTCATCAGTTTCCAGGACAAATCATAGGGCTACATCTGTCAGTCCCTTCAGTTATGGATACAGTGCTGTCTACTCTTTTGTCCATGTCTAAATATTCTTCAAACAAGACCTCAAGGACAGACTTCTCTGCCAAGTTTATCTTTTTTTCTTTTTTACAAACTGTCTCTTTTTGTAAGTTGCTCTACTCTTGTGTCACCCATTTTAACCTTTATCTAGAGGGTTAATGCTGGTCTGTCCACTGACCACTCAATATGGCTGGCACTGATTCAGAGATTAGCATGGTGTAAAGAATATAGACTTTGGAGTTGGCTGGGCCTGGATCAGGATCTTGGTTCTAACACTTGCCAACTGTATTACTGACTTCTTTAAAAGTCTTCTGATAAATGAGGATAAAAATCCCTAACCCTTGCCTTTATAAGAACTGATAAAAATAGAAGATGTGTAATTCCCAGCCTGCAGAAATATCTCAAGAAATGGTTTATTTTTAAGGTTGTTACTATTATTTTGTACTACACAGCACCTGACCCATTGCCAGGCCCCATATGGACACTATTGAATCATTAATAGAGAGTGGTCTATGGCATTTCCAAAAGAGCATAGGGCCTAACAAAAATAGGATATGAAATGTGTTCATGTGAAAGAGGAAAAGAGAGGTAAGTCTAAACATTTAGAAATGCCTGAGACAAACAGGCCTAACTGGAGGAGTGAAAGGGGGTGTCCAGAAAGCCAGGACTCCCAGGTACTCTGGGCTCCTAACAAAGGGCTTTTAAAATAGAGGGGAAAAAAAAGGTGTGCTCTGATGTCAAGCTCACCTACACCATCATTCTACCTGAGACAGGTCCTGGCTAGTGGAATGTGTTTGAGATTACATTACTGATTTTTATATTTTCTTTAAAAAGCATCACAACCAATCTGAATTCCCATGCACCCATTATAGTCTACTAACATTAAGCAAATAAATTTCCCTTGGTTATTTACCTAAATAACAATATGCTGCAATAGATGTTTGAATTCCCAAGAATACAATTTAATTTGAGGGCTAGTGAGAAAATTTAGGTTGAAAATTGATTAAAGAAAAAGGAACAGTAAATAAAAGACTTTCAGAAACATTTTCCTAAGATTCTCTTTTATTATATAATTTTTAAAAAATCAGACTTTTATTCCTCTGCATCTCATTCTATTTCTCACTAATGAAAATTTCTAATTTTTGTTTTAATGAATTAAAGCAGTAATATATATATATCAACAAGATCTACAAATATTTTTGGCATGCTCAGGAAAGGCTGTGTGTTTTTATAGCACACTCTTCTTAAACAGGACTATTTGTCATTCTTTGAAACACTAAGACATAAAAAAGAAAAGACTCTGACTCTGTGTGTGGCCATACTACTCTGCTTAATGCACTAAATGCAAGGTTTTTTAGAAAAAAAAATCAAGAAGTTTCTGCTTCATTGATAATCTGACAGTAACTATTTATTGAAGGTAAAATACTTGTTGTCTGCTGTGACTATTTGTTTTAATACATAATCTTGCTAACTAAATGAGCTTAAAGCAATGCAGATAAGCAATGGTATGTACAGGGTCACTTAAATGCCAATTTGACTGTTTCATAAACTTTGGAATTCTTTTCCCATGAGTCTATTCTCAGCTACTAAATTGTGAGTAATATCCATTTACAAAGTTTGAGCTGGCCATAAAAAGGCTGTCTTCCATGTCCAGCATACCTTTCAGTTAGTTCCCTAAGCAACAACAAAAGCTAATAATTAAAGCTTCTTCAAACCCCCATTAAGAGTTAAATGAAGAAGAATCTAGAAGAAACTAACCCATAAAAACTTAGTGGTGAAATAAGGAGAAAATCAGAGTTTCAACAAGGTGACTAGCAAAATGTAAATCATAATCTAAATTGCATTTCCACACTATTATTTAAAATTGTGGTTGTATTCCTGTGTAACGAGAAACTCCATTAAAATTATGGATGTGAGGATGAAGCATGATATTAATGGTAGAGAAAAATAATGCCATCTAAATTACCAAGCAGATGGCTTATGCACATTTTGTGTTGGCTTGTTTTTTATTTTATCATAAAAAAATTAACCAATATAATAAGCAATTGATCCAAATCAGGCATTACAATGACCAAAAATATCAAATCTAACATGCTAACATTTAATTTTCTTCAGTCTCACAAACAGTTATTTTTTCCAGCTATTGTTACATCATGAAAGTAAGTACATTTGTCAAAAACAGAAAAAGAAAAAAGCATAAAGTATAGCACTAACTGTAAAATCTGCCACCAACTTTTCCTGTGAGAAGGTTTAACTTAGGTCTCATATATGAATTTCTAAAACATTTAGTTTTCTTTTTTAAAAATGTATTTTCATGTCTCTATGCTACTGAATAACTCCTCTCCCAATAGAAAAATTATAAATTTAAGAAAATTACTTTTTATGTAGTTTTTTATCACAAAGAGGTTTTGAAGACTTTCTTGGTCTCAGTGATTTACGTTTCCGCATTCGCTTAATTTCTTTTCCTTCGATTTGCAAGAATTCTGGTGATTTTGCCTTTAAGAAAATATAAAGTGTGCTGTTAAGAGAAGATGTAACATGAGAGTTAGATCTTTCTCTCATATTTAGCGAGTCACCTAATATTTAAACTCCAGATTTCTATGTATATGTTATAACAGAATGCTAAAAGTAAATTGATAGTTTCCTCTAAATCCATTCCTAAATTTTACATATATACCTATATAACAATAAAAATATTAGTATCATGTTTATTTACAACATTTTTATTACCTTAAAATTATTGAAGAATAAATATATTTTCCCTCCATAAGTGCACTCTTCTTTATTGGTATTTGTAATAAAACTTGCCCTTATTTCCTTAAAGTTTGGCATGACTGCTGGTTACAACCACAAGCTAAAAAAAACTTTAGTGCTTTATATTTTTGTTTTGATCAGTTTATCAGAATAAACTTATGCAGAATTCATGGTAATCACTCATGTAAAGATATTTTCTCTGTGGGTTTCTCTATATTTTTTTGAGATTAGATTTAAGGAAGAAATCAGGGAGGCCCTCCTTGGGAAAAGCTATGGTTGAATAAGTAGAAGGTAGCCAGATAAAAGGAAGTTAATTTTTTTATGTTAGGTAGGGTTTAGGTTTGATACAGTAGTAAAGAAGGAGCTATTGCAACTTCTTGGGTGATGAAGTAATGAAGAATAAAGAAAGTTCAATGAATACAGAGCATTCCACCTAACCATCTTGGTAATCTGAATTTCCTGTATGGTATTTCCAGGAAAAACACTGAAGTTTTTCACATTTGCTACTAAATCTCGTCATCCCATATCTATGCACTTACTTTGTGGATCCTAAGGCTATCCTAATTAAATTTCATCTGAGATCTGACTAATCAAATCTTTTTTTAATTCTTAATTTTTGTGGGTACATAGAAGGTATATATATTCATGGGGTACATGAAGTGTTTTCATACAGGCATGTAATGCATAATAATTACATCATGGAAAATGGAGTATCCATTCCCTTGAGCATTTTTCCTTTGTGTTACAAACAATCCAATTATACTCTTTCAGTTATTTTTAAATATACAGTTAAATTATTACTGACTGGCCGGGTGCAGTGGCTCACACCTATAATCCCAGCACTTTGGGAGGCCAAGGCGGGCAGATCACCTGAGGTCGGGAGTTCAAGACCAGTCTGACCAACATGGAGAAACCCATCTCTACTAAAACTACAAAATTAGCTAGGCGTGGTGGTGCATGCCTGTAATCCCAGCTACTCAGGAGACTGAGGCAGGAGAATCATTCAAACCTGGGAGGCATAGGTTGCGGTGAGCCAAGATTGTGCCATTGCATTCTAGCCTGGGCAACAAGAGTGAAATTCCATCTCAAATAAATAAATAAATAAATAATTACTGACTATAGTCACCCTGTTGTGCTATCAAGTATTTTGCCTTATTCATTAATTCTATCTTTTGTACCCATTAACCACCCCCACTTCACACCCATCAAGCCTCTCTTCCCAGCCTCTGGTAACCATCCTTATACTCTCTATCTCCATGGGTTCAATTGTTTTGATTTTTAGATCCCACAAATAAGTGAGAATCTGTGATGTTTGTCTTTCTGTGCCTGGATTATTTCACTTAACATAATGATCTCCAGTTCCTTCCATGTTGTTGCAAATGACTGAATCTGTCTTTTTTTTTTTTTTTTTTTTTTTTGAGACAGGGCCTCAATCTGTAGCCCAGGCTGGAGTGCAGCGGAATGATCACAATGCACTGCAGCCTCAACCTCTTGGGCTCCACTGATCCTCTTACCTCAGCATCCCAAGTAACTGGGGCTACAGGCATGCACCATCAAGCCTGGCTAATTTTTGTATTTTTGTAGTGATGGAGTTTTGCCATGTTTTCCAGTCTGGTCTCAAACTCCTGAGCTCAAGCAATCTACACGGCTAGGCCTCCCAAAGTATTGGGATTACAGGAATGAACCACTGTGCCCAGCCTCATTCTTTTTCATGGCTGAATAGTATTCCATCGTGTGTATGTACCACATTTTCTTTATCCATTCTTCTGTTGACGGACACTTAGGTTGCTTTCAAATCTTGGCTGTTGTGTGACCAGTGCTGCAACAAACATGGAAGTGCAGATATCCCTTTGACATACTGATTTCCTTTCTTTGGGGTATGTACCCAGCAGCGGGATTGCTGTATCATATGGTAGTTCTATTTTTAGTTTTTTGAGGAACCTCCAACCTGTTCGCCATAGTGGTTGTACTAATTTACATTCCCATCAACAATGTATGAGGCTTCCCTTTTCTCCACATCCCTGCCAGCATTTGTTATTGCCTGTCTTTTGGATATAAGCCATTTTAACTGGGCTGGGATAATATCTCATTGTAGTTTTGAGCACTTTTCATATGTCTGTTTGCCATTTGTATGTCTTCTTTTGAGAAATGTATATTCAAATCTTTTGCATATTTTTAAATAAATTGTTAGATTTTTTCCTACAGAGTTGTTTGAGCTCCTCATATATCCTGGTTATTAATTCCTTGCAAGATGGGTAGTTTGCTAATATTTTTCCCATTCTGTGGGTTGTCTCTTCACTTTACTGATTGTATCCTTTGGTGTGCAAAAGCTTTTTAACTTGACATGAACCCATTTGTTCATTTTTGCTTTGGTTGCCTGTGCTTATGGGGTATGGCTCAAGAAATATTTGCTGAAACCAATGTACTGGAGAGTTTCCCCAGTGTTTGTTTGTTTGTTTGTTTGTTTGTTTGTTTGTTTTTGTGGTAGTTTTATAGTTTGAGGTCTTAGATTTAATTATTTAATCAATTTTGATTTGATTTTGTCTATGGTGAGACATAGGGGTCTAGATTCATTCTTCTGCATATGGATATCATTTTCCCAGCATCACTTATTGAAGAGGCTCCCTTTTCCCCAGCATATGTTCTTGACACCTTTGTTGAAAATGAGTTTACTGTAGGTGTGTACTGTATTCTGTTCCATTGGTATATGTGTCTGTTTTTATGCCAGTACCATGCTGTTTTGGTTTCTATAGCTTTGCAGTATAATTTGAAGTCAGGTAATGTGATTTTCCTCCAGATTTTTTGTTTTTGTTTTTATTTGTTTGGGGTTTGTTTTTTGTTGTCGTTGTTTGTTTGTTTTGTTTTGTATGGTTTTTGTTTTTGTTTGCTTAGGATAGTTTTGGTTATTCTGGGCCTTTTTTGGTTCCATATAAATTTTAGGATTGTTTTTTCTATTTCTGTGAAGAATGTCATTGGTATTTTGATACAGATTGCATTGAATCTGTAGAATGCTTTGGATAGTATACACATTTTAACAATATTGGTTCTTCCAATCCATGAACATGGAATATCTTTCCATTTTTTGGTCCTCTTCAATTGCTTTCATCAGTGTTTTATAGTTTTTATTATAGAGATCCTTCACTTCTTTGGTTAATTCCTAGGTATTTTGTAAATGGGACTACTTTTTACTTCTTTTTCAGTTTGTTCACTGTTGGCATAGAAATGCTACTGATTTTTGCATGTCAACTTTTTGTCCTGCAACTTTACTAAATTTGTTTATCAGTTCTCATAGTTTTTTGTGGAGTCTTTTGGTTTTTCCAGATATAAGATCATACCATCTGCAAACAAGAATAATTTGACTTCTTCCTTTCCAATTTGGATGCCTTTTATTTCTTCCTGTTGTCTGATGGCTGTAGCTAGAACTTCCAGTATGATGTTGAATAACAGTGGTGAGAGTGGGCATCTTTCAGGTGCTTCAGATCTTAGAGGAAAGGCTTTCAGTTTTCCCCATTCAGTATGATACTAGCTGTGAGTCTGTCATATGTGGTTTTGGGATTTATTTATTTATTTATTTATTTATTTATTTATTTATTTATTTTTGAGATGGAGTCTTGCTCTGTTGCTGAGGCTGGAGTGCAGTGGTGTGATCTCAGCTCACTGCAACCTCTGCCTCCCAGGTTCAAGCAATTCTCCAGCCTCAGCCTCCCAAGTAGCTGGGCTTACAGAAAGGCACCACCATATCTGGCTAATTTTTGTATTTTTAGTGGAGATGGGGTTTCTCTGTGTTGGCCAGGCTTGTCTCAAACTCCTGGCCTCAGGTGATCCACCTGCCTCAGCCTCCCAAAGTGCTGAGATTACAGGTGTGAGCCACCACACCGGTAAAAACCGTATGTGGTTTTTATTATGTTGAGCTATGTTCCTTCTATACCCAGTTTTTGACATTTTTTGTTGTTCATGACGGGATGTTGAATTTTATCAAATGGTTTTTAAGCATCAATTGAAATGATCATAAGGTTTTTGTCTTTTATTCTGTTGCTAGGATGTGTCACATTAATTGATTTGCATATGTTGAACCATCCTTGCATCCCAAAGTGGGATTTATCCCACTTTGTCATGAATGATCTTTTTAATGCATTGTTGAATTCAGTTTGCTAATACTTTGTTGAGAATTTTTCCAACAATATTCATCAGGGATATTGGCCTGTAGTTTTCTTTTTCTTTTTTTCTTTTTTTTTTTTTTTTTTTTTTTTGGTGTGTCTTTGTCTGCTTTTGATATCAGGATAATACCTGCCTCATAGAATGAGTTTGGAAGCATTCCCTTCTAGTTTATTTTTCAGAATAGCTTGAGTAGAATTGGTGTTAGTGCTTTCAATTCAGCAGTGAAGCCATTGGGTCCCAGGCTTTTCTTTACTGGGAGACTTTTTATTATGGATTTGATCTTGTTACCTGTTATGGGTCTGTTCAGGTTTTGTATTTCTTCCGGTTCAATCTTGGTAGATTGTATGTGTCTAGGGATCTGTCCATTTCTTCTAAATTTTCCAATTTATTGGCATATAGTTGCTCATAGTAGCTACTAATGATCCTCTGAATTTCTGTAGTTATGTCTTCTTTTTCATCTCTGAGTTTATTTGTTTGGATCTTCTGTCTTCTTTTCTTAGTCTGGCTAAAGGTTTATTAATTTTGTTTAGCTTTTCAAAAAACCAACTTTCTTATCTCATTGACCTTTTGTATTGTTTTCTTCATTTCAGTTCAGTTTATTTCTGCTCTGACCTTTATTCTTTGCTTCCACTAATTTTTGGTTTGGTTTGCTCTTTCTTTTCTAGTTCTTTAAGATCCATCATTAGATTGTTCATTTGAAGTTTTTCCTCTTTTTTGATGTAAGCACTTACAGCTATGAACTTCCCTCTTAGTACTACTTTTGTTGCATCCACAGGTTTTGGTATGTTATGTTTCCATTATCATTTGTTTCAAAAAAATTTTTCAATTTCCTTCTTAATTTCTTCATTGACTTGCTGGTCATTCAGAAGCACATTGTTTAATTTCAATGTGTATAGTTTCCAGAATTATTCTTGTTACTGATTTCTAGTTTTATTCTATTGTGTTTTTTTGTTTGTTGTTTGTTTGTTTGTTTGACAGAGTATTGCTCTGTCACACAGGCTGTAGTGCAGTGGCACAATCTCGGCTCACCGCAACCTCCAACTGCCGGTTTCAAACAATTCTCATGCCTCAGCCTCCCGAGTAGCTGGAATTACAGGCATGCATCAGCACACCTGGCTAATTTTTGTATTTTTAGTGCAGGTGGGGTTTCAGCATGTTGGCAAGGCTGGTCTTGAAATCCTGACCTCAAGTGATCCACCCACCTTGGCCTCCCAAAGTGCTAGGATGGCAGATGTGAGCCACCACACCTGACCGGTTTTACTCTATTGTGGTCAGAGAAAATGTTTAATATTGGTGGGGTTTTTTTAATGTTTTAAGACTTGTTTTGTGACCTAACATATGGTCTATCCTGGAGAATGATCCACATGCTAAGGAAAAGAATGTGTATTCTGCAACCATTGGATGAAATGTTCTATAAACATCCATTAGATCCATTGCTCTATAGTGCAGATTAAGTCTGATGTTTCTTTGTTGAATTTCTGTCTATAAGACCTGTCCAATGCTGTAGGTGGGATGTTGAAGTTTTCAGCTATTGTATTGGAGTCTCCCTCTTTGACTCCCTAATATTTGCTTCATAAATCTGGGCACTCCAGTGTTGGGTGCATATATAATGAAAACTGTTACATCCTCTTGCTGAATTGACCTGTTTATGATTGTTTAGTGACCTTCTTTTTCTCTTCTTATAGTTTTTTTCCTGAAATCTATTTTGTCTGATATAAGTATAGAGATTCCTGCTCTTTTCTGGTTTCCATTGGCATGGAATATCTTTTTCCATCCCTGTATTTTCAGTCTATGTGTGTCTTTATAGATGAAGTGCATTACTTGTAGGCAACAGATCAATCAGTCTTATTTTTTTAATCCATTCCAGCCACTCTGTGTCTATTGATTGGAGAGTTTAGTCCATTCACATTCAATGTTATGACTGATGAGTAAGGACTTTCTCTTGCCATTTTGTTATTTGTTTTCTGGTTATTTTGTGGTCTTCTCTTCCTTCTTCCTTTCCTGTCTTCCTTTTAGTAAAGGTGGCTTTCTTTGGTGATATGATCTAGTTTCTTGCTTTTTATTTTTTGTGTATCTGTTGAATGATTTTTGTTTTGAGGTTATCATGAGGCTTCCAAATACTGTCTTATAGTCCATTATTTTAAACTGAGAACAACCTAACACTGTTTGCATAAACACACAAACAAGCAAGCAGAAAAGAAAAAAAACTAATAAATTCTCTACACTTTAACTTTATTCTTCTGCTTTTTATCTTCTTGTTTCTATTTATATCTATGGTACTGTTTATATCTTGAAAACTTGTTATAGTTATTATTTTTTGTTGGTTAATCATTTAGTCTCTCTATTTAAGTTTACACACCACATTTATGGTGGTATAATATTCTGTTTTTCTGTGTACTTACTATTACCAGTGAGATTTGTACCTTCATATTATTATTTATTCCTCATTATCATGCTTTTCTCTCTGGTTGAAGTACTCCTTTTAGTATTTCTTGTAAGACAGGTCTGGTGTTGATAAAATGCCTCAGCTTTTGTTTGTCTGGGAAAGTCTTTATTTCTCCTTCATGTCTGAAGGATAATTTCACCAGATACATTATTCTAGGTTTAAAGTTGTTTTTATTCAGCACTTTAAGTATGTCATGCTACTCTCTTGTGGCCTGTAAGGTTTCCACTGAAAAGTCTGCTGCTGGACATATTGGAGCTCTATTGTATGTTGTTTCTTTTCTCTTGCTGTTTTTGAAATCCTTTCTTTATCCTTGACCTTTGGGAATTTAATTATTAAATGTCTTGAAGTAGCCGTCTTTGGGTTAAATTTTCTTGGTGTTCTATAGCCTTCTTGTACTTGGATAGTGATATCTTTCTTCAGGTTGGGGAAGTTCTCTGCTATTATCCCTTTGAGTAAACTTTCTACCTCTATGTCTTTCTCTACATCCTCTTTAAGGCCAATAACACTTAGATTTGCCCTTTTGAGATTATTTTATAGATTTTGTAGGTATGCTTCATTGTGTTTTATTCTTTTTTCTTTTGTCTCCTCTGTGTATTTTCAAATAGCCTGTCTTTAAGCTAATTCATTATTCCTTCTGCTTGATCAGTTCTGCCACTAAAAGACTCTGATGCATTCTTCAGTATGCCAACTGCATTTTTCAACTCCAGAATTTCTGCTTGATTCTTTCTAATTATTTCAATTTCTTTGTTAAATTTCTAAGATAGAATTCTGAATTGATTCTCTGTGTTATCTTGAATTTCTTTGAGTTTCTTCAAAACAGGTATTTTGATGTCTCTATATATTTTGAATATATCTCTATTTCTCTCAGGGTTGGCCCTTGGTGCCTTATTTAGTTCATTTGGTGAAGTCATGTTTTCCTGGATCATTGTGATACTTGTAGATATCTGTCTGTGTCTTGGCATTGAAGAGCTAAGTATTTATTGCAGACTTTGCAGTCTGGGCTTGTTTGTACCCATCCCTTTGGGGAAGGCTTTCCAGATATTCAAAAGGAGTTGGGTGTTGTGATCTCAGCTGTATCTGCTTTAGGGCGGGGGACCCCAAGCCCAGTAATGCTGTGGTACTTGCAGACTCATAGAGGTACCACCCTGATGGTCTTGAACAAGATCTGGAAGAATTATCTGAATTACTAGGCAGAAACTCTTGTTCTCTTCTTTACTTTGTCCTAAACAAACAAAGTCTCTCTCTCTTTCTCTCTCTCTCTCTCTCCCCTGAGCCAACTGGAGCTGGGGATGGAGTGACACAAGCACCCCTGTGGCCCCTATTCCTAGGACTGCACTGGGTCAGATCTGAAGCCAGCACAGCTCTGGGTCTCGCTCAAGGCCTGCTATAACCACTCCCTGGCCACTACTTATGTTTGCTCAAAGACCTAGAGCTCTACGATCAGCAGGTGGCAAAACCAGCCAGACCTATGTCATTTGCAGCAAATTCGCTCAGACCCCGGGTGCAACCAGAGGTGCCATCCAGGAGCCAGGGACTAGAGTCAAAAACCTTAGACGTCCATCTGGCATTCTATTGCACTACAGCTAAACTGGCACTCAAACCACAAAATGAAATCCTTCCCACTCTTCTCCCCACTTTTCAAAAGCAGAGAAGCCTCTCCCTGTGGCCACCGCCATCTCAGGCCCACGAGGAGTATTGCCAGACTCCTGCCAATGTTTCCTCAAGGCCTAAGGGCTCTTCAGTCAGCTTGTGGTAAATGCTGCTTGTCCTGGGACTCATCCTTCAGGGGAGTGGGCTTCCCTCTGACCTAGGGCAGGTCCAGAAATGGTGTACAAGAGCCAAGTCCTGGACTCAAGGACCCCAAGAGCCCACTTGGTGCTCTACTCCCCTATAGCCAAGCTGGTTCCTATGGTGCAATACAAAGTCCTCTTTACTTTTGCCTCCACTTTTCTCAAGCAGGGGTCTCACCCTGTAGCCACCACAGCTGGGAATGTGCCGAGTCTCGCCTGAGACCAGCAAGTCTCAGGGTCTCACCCAAGGCCCTCAACTGGTATCCTTTCTAGTTATTCAGAGCCCAAGCACTTTTCAGTTAGGAGGTGATGAATCTTACCACAACTGGGTCCTTCTCTTCAAGGCAGCCCAGGGCATGTCTAGAAATGTCTGGGAGCTAGGGCCTCATGACACTGACCAGTGCCCTATCCTGCTGTGGCTGAGCTCGGTATGTAAGACGCAAAACAAAGTCTTCCCCACTCTTCCATCTCCTCTTCTAAAGCAAAAGGAAGGAGTCGCTTTTGGAGCCATGAGCTATGCAGCCTGGGGTTAGGGGAGGAGTTATGCCAGCACTCCTTAGCTGCCCTGGCTGGTGTCTCAGTAGGTTGCATGCCTCCCTAGTCCACTATCTCTGAGCCCAGTTCAACCCTAGGACTTACCTACATGTTGCAGTACTTGTGGCCTATATTGCCCTTCAAATTTATTTGGAGCCTCCAAGCATGTTAGCCTGTGGTGGCAAGGCTTTTAAGAAATCAAGCTCCGAACACTGAGATCAGCTATTCCTCTCTGGCTAGGGCTCATTTAAATGCACCCTCTGTGGGCAGGCACCAGCTGAGTTTGGTTAAGTTTTGGTTTCTGCTATAACAAGACAGCACTGAGTTCAATACTTCACACTTGCTGGCTCTCCCTCTCCCCAGGGCACAAAAACACTCTCTGCACCACCCCTCTGCTGCCAACGGGTCAGGGAGGGGTGGTGTCAGCAATGCAAGACTATTTTTCCTGTGTCTTCAATGTCTCTTTCAATGATATGAAGTTACAGTCAGGTTCTGTGTCCTGGTTTACTGTGGAGTGGAGGGGACAATCAATGGAGCCTTCTATTCCACCATCTTGCTCCACCTTCTCCAGACAAATCTTACCAGTAGAATTTTTGATGCTATCTACAAATTCAATCAGCAAGTTTTCCATTTTCTCATCTGATATGGTTTGACTTTGTCCCCACCCAAATCTCATCTTGAATTGTAGCTCCCATAATTCCCTCATGTTGTGTGAGAGACCCAGTGGGAGATAAGTGAATCATGGGGGCAGTTTCCTCCATACTGTTCTCATGGTAGTTAATAAGTCTCACAACATCTGATGGTTTCATAAGGGGAAACTCCTTTCTCTTGGCTCTCATTCTCTTCTCTTGTCTGCCACCGTGTGAGACACACGTCTCACCTTCCACCATGATTGTGAGGTCTCCCCAGCCATGTGGAACTGTGAGCCCATTAAACCTCTTTCTTTTGTAAATTTCCCAGTTTTGGATATGTCTTTATCAGCAGCATGAAAACAGACTAATATATCATCTAAACCATTAGGAAATTTATTGAATTGGACACAGCCCTGTAGCAGTCCACGAGACTTCCATGTACTAGTTGTGCATCCTTTGCATAAGTAGTTACAAATCCATTTAGTAGTCCACCTGACGACAATCTCCTCTACAAAACCAACATTGGGAGGCTTTCATAAGCAGGTTGCTGATATTCCAATGATAATAGCAATAACTAATGTTTATTGAGTTTTCTGTATGTCAGGCATTGTTCTAAGTGCTTTATATTGTAGCATTTACATATAATCCTCACAAAAACAATATGAGGTGGGCACTGTCATTATCCTCATTTTACAATACAGACATATAGTAGAGTTCAGTACTTTGCCTAAGGTCATACTACTAGTAAAGGGTAAAGAGAGGATTCGGTCCTTGGACATCTAGTTGCAGAGCCTGTGCTCTTCCCACGAGACTCATGTTGAACACCAGGTCTAACATTTTTATGATATTCAGTCTAGGAATTCTAGGAAAATAAATGAGGTTAGTCTTCCATGGCTTATCCTTAAGGGACCCATACTCCAAGTGATTACCACTTCCTTTTAGAAGGGTTCAAACACAATTCTTTTAATGAGTCATTTAATAATTCTAGAGTTTTGTCCAAGATCAATGCATAGATTGCAGAAATCTCAACCCTTACACTTAAAAAAATATAAAAGTCATATTTGCAGTTGCCACTCTCCAGGCATTGGCACCTCTCCCACTGCAGCAGCTCCCCAAAGCTGCTGCTGAAAGGTGCAACAAGCTTAAACCCATCTATCTGAGCCATCCAGCAGGCTCAGATATTCAAGTTAACTCTTAAAATCTTTTACAAATCTTGGACTTTAAGTTTCTATTATGAATTCTTCTTTCTAAAGATCATTCTCCCTGTCAGATTTAAAAGACACAAAGCATAAGTTTATCAGCTTCCTTTTCTCTTTGTTATACTTCTGTTTATTTAAAACCTCAACCTTTTTCCAAAAATAAATTAAGGCAGCTGTCATCTCTTGTCATCACACTATTCATCCATATGACAGAGTTATCTTTCTTTTTATTCCCCCTCTCTTTGCTCCAAAACTAACATCAAAAATACTTGTTTTTGTTCTTAACATTATTCATAGGACTAAACCCATTCTGGATCTCGGCTTTCTTGGTACAATTTCATAGCAACATGCCACCTTTATATTTTTCTATGGATATGCATTTCTATGGATATTTTTAAAACTCTAAATGCAATAGATTACTCATACATGTTTTGTGAGAATTTGGGAGATTCAGGACATCCCCATACCTGTTAAACTTTCTTCCATTTATAATATCAGGTCATGTGATCATATCTATATTTTTATAGACTTTCACTGACATCTTCTAAAATGTTCAACCATCCTATTATTGGCTTTGTGTCAGTTATTTCTTCACAGAATCACTATTATTTCTATCTAACTTTCTTTTGTTCGTCATGATTTAGACAAAAATACCAATCACCTTCATTATACTAACGAGCTTCTAAGAGTAGAAATGGCCAATTAGGTAAGGATTGATCAAATTCTCTACTTTTTCTGCTGAACAAGACCTTCCAACATATATCTGAGCAATTAAAGTCCTGCATTGTTCCTTTATTACACCTCTGTGCTACTTCTGTTTAATCATGTCAGAAAAGGTCTTCTTGTCCCCTTAATCCTCAACCTGGCCAGGCTTGCTGGAGTATATTGTTCGTCATTCTGCTAACATTTTGAGCAGAAATGCTAGAAACTAACTTTATGGACTCAAATGTCCACATACAGTGTAAAGTTCATGGATAACAACTGATCTTGAGATGTTAACACAAATAAATAAATATATGATTCTTGGAGAAGACTTGGTGGGAATAGTTCAGTGCTATTTTAGGGCATTTCTGAAGGGTCCCACAATATCCCACAACAATAAGGCATAATATTTTATTAGACATTCTCTTCTCTCCCCTTGAAACATTTCTCATTTCAATTTAGAGTCTTTTTAATCCATTCACCAAGTCACTCTGATCAAAACCTTCTTCCTAGAATGCTTCTTAGAAACATCCAAATGCATGCTTTGTAAAGAGCATGACTGATGGGGTCAGTCACCAACCACAGGATAAGACCCTTGTCCCTGGAAGCAGTGGTGGATTTCCTCTGGTCAACTATTACTTGTGGATCTTCCTTATTACCTGTTATTCATGGAAGATCAATAGGCTAGTGTCATGTAGGATAAACCTGAGAAAACAGGGCTTGAGAAATGAAGAATAACCACTGCATTAATTCAGACATAAGGTCACCAGGACCCAGACTAGGATGGGGTAACTAGAAAAGAGAAGAAAAATAACATTTGGGAATAACATTTGGGAAACTCCAAGCCTTGGAGATTGATTTATATGTAAACAGCAAGTGAAGAGGAAGGCCACAGACAAATCCCAGGTTTCAGAGTTGGGAGTCTCGGGCAAAAATTGAAGAATGAGGAATGGCCAGTTGACCTCAGTGAAGCGTATTGGGAACATAATCATTGGTGGGGAGGGGAGACCCAGAAGTAGAGGAATTACCCAGAGAGGCATCCATCTGAATCAGTGTGGGAGAGGATTTCTGGTGATAATCAAGATGATATGCTGTGGTTCAAGGAAAAGGGTCTGTTTTTTTAATGCTAATAATATATCTATTTTTAAATAAATTTATTTAAGTAAAAAAAGTGACTCAAATTAATGAAAAGAATTAATACAACAATCCTCCCTTATCTGTGAGGCATATGTTCCAAACCCCAGTGGATGCTTGAAACCTTGGATAGTACTGAACCTTATATACATTATGCTCTTTCCCATACATACATATTGATGATAAAGTTTAATTTATAAGTTAAGCACAGTATAAGATTAACAACCATAACTAATAATACAATAGAACAATTATAACATACTGTAATAAAATTTATGTGAATATGTTATCTCTCTCTCTCTCTCTAAATATCTTATTGTCCTATGTGTATTCACCTATTTCCACACTGCAGTTGACCACAACTAACCAAAGCCTCGGAAAGTAAAGCCAAGGATAAGAGGAAACTTAAACCCTACAGTAAAGGCAGGGTGATATGCAAATATGATAAAAATTATGTAAACAATGGATAAAATGAATCTTGTAAACATCCTCACAGTAGAAAAAGACTCAGGGGTTAGTATGAACCTAAATGAGGTAAAGTTATAAAAGCTATAAAATTCACCAAGTTCTATTTCCTAGACTACAATTCCTGACTTCCTCGAGATGGTAACTAGAAGATTCTTGGCCAATTTCTAAAAGACCTAAAAATTCCTTCCCTCCTTGAAAATGTTTCCTCTCCCCAGAGTTGCAATTAGGGTTGACACTAGAAACCCTCAAAAAACATGTTTCCTTTTCCTAAGTGGGCAACTTGCACTTCTGAGGCCCCCTTTTCAGAGTGAACACACCATCACCCCCGCCCCCAGCCCCATACGTTGGTCCTTGCCTGGGCCAATTCTTCACACCTGCACATCCTCAATTCTCATAACTCTTAGGTGTTTCCAACATAAATAGTTTCTTACCGTTAAAGACACCCACTTGGCTTCTTTTGAATCACTTGTGGGCTGTCCATCTTCCAAAGGTTTACTTAATTCCTCTGCTGGCTGAACTTGCGAAATTTCCTGAGGTTTAAATACTATGCTTTCTGCTTCTGAGGGTCCCCATTCTATATCCTCTTGTTCAATCTGGAGAATACTTGACATGGTTTCAGAAAGTTCCTTATGCACGCTCTGTTGGAAAAAGTAAATGTGCAAGAATGCTTTTTTTTTATTGGTCCTTCTAGGCTTTTCAGTGATGCAACAGTTTCTATCTGACAAGATGAATATGAAAACGCATGCTTGAAACTAAGCATAGGTGATGAGTTTCCTCTGAAGATTTAGAAAGAGAAGCTCAAATTGACTTAAGAAAAATGTCAAGGCTGGCAAATTATTTTCCTCAGCCCTTGTCTCAGAAACTACAGCCACCCCACAGTTGTTAAGGGTAAAAGATGGCATACAATACCAAATACTATGAAATTTTCTTTATTATGCAAGAAGGTATAGCTAGACCAAGAAATTTAATTTTGTAAAATAGAACTTTAATCTTGAACTCATGTTGGTTCTTTTTTTTTTCCATATCACAAGTCATCAAGCAGGAGCTCATGTTTTTATAAAGCTACTGGATGGTGTTATGGAAAGATTCAGAAAATGTTTTTAACCAGATGGGACTGAATTCAAATCCTGGATCTGTTAATTAATAGATGTTTGACCTTAGCCAAGTTACTTAAACTTTTTTAGCCTCATTTTTGTCACTGGTCATCAGGATAGGCTATGCCCAACCAAAAAAAAAAAAATTAGTGGTTCGACACACTGGAGCAGTGTGTTCACTACAAATCAAAGTGGCTCTTTAGGGCAGGTATACTTCTCATGGTAGCTCAGCCATCTAGGCTGCTTCCAGGTTGTAGTTCCTTCACACCAGAACACAGCTTCTATGGTCACCACAGAACAGTGACCATATCACTTTCCTTCACACCCCATTGGCCACAAACAGCTACATGACCCCATCTAACTGCAAAAGGGTGGGGGACATTTGAATATTTAGCAGGGAGCCATTCAGCTGCTCCATTGGCTTGACTCACATCTTTACAAGGGATATATCTTTTTTTGTACTTAGTTTGTGTGTGTGTCCTCTGCAAGCTGAGGAAGAAAGAAGCCAATAGTGACTCGGTCCAAGTCCAAAATTTTCAAAGGTAGGGAATCTGACAATGCAGCCTTCAATCTGTGGCCAAAGGCCCAAAAGCCCCCAGCAAACCACTAGTATAAGTCCAAGAGTCCAAAGGTCAAAGAAGCTGCAGTCTGATGTCTGAGGGCAGGGGGGATGGATGGAAGCATCCATGACCCGGTACCAAGTCGAAAGGTATTTTACCTCTAAAGAAGTGGGTCAGCTTCCTTATAAAAAGCCAGAGGCCAGAAGAGGTCCAGTGATTGCCTGTAAATGTCAATGCTTAGGGAATGGTTCCAGCAGAATTACAAATAAATTAATATTTTTGTTTAACTCTTTATTTTAAATAATCAAGACGATATCTAAGCTAAATATCTGATTGTTGGCCTTTTTCACAGTTTCCTTCAAAATGGTATCTTTCCTTATACTTTATATGAATGTAGTGAATGGTATTAAGTTTATTCTATTAATGAAGATTTCTATTTGGCTAAACCTAACTGATATTGTACTTTCAGTTTACTATACCTGTTAGAGGCGTCGAGGTCAGAAGTTTTGATATATATTTGTAAACGGTGTCAACTAGAGGCAGCTACCCTAGATGTCAGTCTTAAGTCCATAGCATATGTGGTAAGCCTTCCTAATTGATATATCCACATACTATTACAAAGGGCTACTAGTACCATCTCATGCTGGATCATAAGGCCAGTGATAAGAATAGAAAGGAGAAAAATATATGGGCCCAAAGCATCTCAAACTCCAGTAGTTCTACCATTTGTGGTAACTCTAACATTATAGGACCCATAGCTTTTGTGAAAAGAAAAAATTCCATGCACTTTCTGAACATGATATGCTAACCTAAAAATGAAATATGATCACGATTTTATGTATGTGGGGGTCATATTTCCAGGAACCACAGGAGCTTGTTATTTAATGGTAACATTTTATGAACTCTTTGTAGAGGAACTGACCATCAGGCTATCACTTTTCTATGTAAATGTGAGTTTCTATACACAAGGAGATACTTTCCATTCACAAGGAATATGTTCCAGATTGCTTTGAATCCAATGGTTATTTTACCAATGATGGATAAAAAGAAAGATTTATTTCCAAAACAAATTTCTGTCACCAACTGTCCATATTTCTCAACCAAATTCTCCCCTTGCAATGCTTTTAACAATTCTTCTAGCTGAATACAGACAAAAGTAATGCTTTCTTAGAAGCTAACAATTTTTAATTAATTATCCACCTACCTTCTAGATCTAAATGTCTCTAAATCAGAATTGTTAAAGTCCTCCCCTTCTAAAAAGAGTCTGGGGCCTTAGCTCAGAAGGTCCATGGTAGCCAGCAACAGTGAGCCAAAATGGCCAAGACTCCCAGTGTGGTATCGAGTTAGATGCTCTCACAGGTAAACACACTTCTAAAATACATCAGAGAAATTTTTTTAACTCTCTATATAAACATTCAAGCAACAGGAAGCATGCTGTTACTTTAACAGAGGCAAGGAGGATTTTTATTAAAGACTTTACCATTTGCGATTCCTCAGCACCCATCTGGAATTTATACTCTGCTTGTATCTCAGGTGTTTCTGCTTGCATAGGTGATGTTTTGAGGTACATTTTTCCCATTAAAGAAATATCCTTGAATGAGAAAAGGAAACAAAGTGATGCCAATTTTTAAAATCATTGAAGCACATTATTCATTATACTAAAATGCTAGTCAATTTGTGTAGTAAATGAAAAATAGAGACATATAAACTAGTCAATAACACATGGTAAATGAATAAAGAAAAAACAATAAAGTCAGGGTGTGGTGGCTCATGCCTGTAATCCCGGCACTTTGGGAGGCCGAGATGGGTGGATCACCTGAGGTCAAGAATTTGAGATGAGCCTGACCAACATAGTGAAACCCCAACTCTAGTAAAAATACAAAAGTAGCAAGGCATGATGGCACATGTCTGTAATCCCAGCTACTTGGGAGGCTGAGGCAGGAGAATTGCTTGAACCCAGGAGGAAGAGGTTGCAGTGAGCTGAGATCATGCCATTGCACTACAGCCTGGACAACAAGAGGGAAACTCTGTTTAATAAATAAATAAATAAATATAAATTTTTTTTGCCTATGTTTTCAATTTCATGGCTTTTCGCTGATCTCTATAAATATATTTTTAGATTTAACAAGATAATTAGGTAATATTAAGTCAGATGCTATAAAACAATGCTATTAAGTCAGATTGTATAAAACACTGCACAGGAAAGATAAAATCAAAACTAAAATTTAATGCAACCAAGGGCAAGAGGGAATATGCTTAAAACCTCACTGGATGGACTGTTAGTATCATTTTTACCATAGCTAATGACAATTGCAATGATATACTCTCTACTCAGTTGAGATGGCAAGAAGATAGTACACTCCAACTACTAACAATGATGTAGGAATAAAGAGACCCAGGTTCTGTCCATCCAAACTGTGAAGCCACAAATCAGGCATCAACAGGCACATTATTTTGCTTTCCTTCACCTCAGTCTTACTACTTTTTAAATAGGCATTCAACTACATGACTTTTTTTTTTGAAACAGAGACTTGCTCTGTCACCCATGCTGGAATGCAGTGGTGCAATCATAGCTCCCCGTAACCTCAAACTCCTGGGCTCAAGCGTTCCTTTCACCTCAGCCTCCTGAGTGGCATGGACTACAAAGTGCATACCACAACGCTCAACTAATGTTTTTGTTTTTTGTAGAGATGGGGTATCTCTACATTGCCCAGGCTGATCTTGAGCTTGTGGCCTTAAGGAATCCTCCCTCCTTGGCCTCCCAAAGTGCTGGGATTACACAGGCATGAGACACTGTGCCTGGCCTACATGAAATTTTAAGGTCCCTTTTTCTTCTAGCCTTTTAGTAATGTCAACAGCAAGATTCAAACTCCCATTGTACCTTAAAACTCTTATTTTTCTACTTTTTATTTGTTTTATTAAAAGGATCTAATTCAGGCCATTGGCTTCTACTTCTGTCCTCTTGTTATAAATAACTATAAAACTGGACAAAATATTACAGCAACTCTTTTAGGATTTGACAGCAGACAGTGCAGAACTGTGATGACAGAGAATGGAAACAAATAAGGTAAGAGCTACAATTACCTGATTTCTGCCTGACACAATTTCCAGAACATGGCACAAAAAGGCAAAAGCCAAACAGAGCCCAAGTATCTTACTAAATTGAAGAGACAGAAATCAGATGAGAGGAGGACAAAGGGGCTAGAATTTGTAAGGAACAGTGTGGAGATGAGGGCACTGCATAGAGAAAGAGCTCCAGAAATCGGCATAGGGTCCTTGAGGCTTTGGCTGAAAGTCTGCCCATGCAATGGAGAAACCCATGAGGCTAGACAAAGAAACCCTGCCAGGGAAGAAAACAATTACTAAAGAGCTGTAAGTCACAATTCCCAGAGCTCACACAAGGTTGGGATTCATTAGGTCTCCCACCAGACATGCAAGATACGTGGTACATTCATTATAAAGGCCAGAAGGATCATCTGTTAGTAGTCATGCTAAATTAACCCTTGAGTAAAGGTTTCTGTGGACATTAACAATGCTTTAAAATAATTCTTGAAAAAATCAAACTGCTCTTCAAGTAACTTAACTGCCTATCAGAACAAACTCCAACACTCTTTAAAGGAAGTCAGTAAAACCCAATGTAAAATTCATAATGTCCAAAATCCAATCAGAAGTTGCTGGTCACATGAAGAAGCACAAATATATGATACATAACCAGGAAGAAAATCATACAAAAAGACCCAGAAATGATATACATTTCAGAATTAGCAAATAAGGATCTTAAACTTCTAATATAAATATTATAAGTGTTCAACATTAAATAAAAATGTAAGCATAAAGAGGAGCAAATGTAAGAAACAGAATGAAATGTGACATCTATAGATAGAACATACATCATCTAAAATAAAATTCTCACTGAGTGGCATTAACAGAAGAGAAAGACATTGCAGAAGAAAATGTCAGTTAACTTAAAGGCATATCAACAGGAACCATGACAAATGAACCACAGAGAGAAATAAAACTGAAATAAAATGAACAAATACTCAGTCTAACATATATTTAATTGGGGTTCCAGAAAGGGATATGGGGAGTGACTGAAAATATTCACACACAAATGGCCAAAAATTTTCCAAATATCATGACAGCTACAAACCCCCTAAGTTCAATGACCTCTGAGCAGAAACACACAAAGAACACTGCCCCAAGTTCACTGTCAGAATAATAAAAACCACTAATTATAAAAAATCTCTTTATTTGCAAATGAATATGATTACACATATACAGAAAATCAGAAAGAATACAAAAAAAACCTACTAGAGCTAATAAACTAATTCACTAAAGTTGTAGGGTACAGGGTAAATATGTAAAAATAAGTTTTATTTTCAAACAATGAACAATCTATAAACAAAATTAAGAAAACAATTCCATTTAAAATGCCATAAATGAGAATAAAATACTTAGAAATAAATTTAACCAAAAAACCACAAGACTTGTATAAAATATTGCTGAAAGAAATTAAAGAAGTCCTAAATGAAAGGAAAGGCATCTTATGTCCATGGATTAAAAGACTTAATATTGTTAAGATGGCAAGACTCCCCAAAGCTATCTACAGATTCTTTGCAACCCCTATCAAAAAAACAAGGGCCTTTTTTTCAGAAATAGAAAAACTGATCCTAAAATTCATATGGAATTGAAAGTTCCCCTGAATAGGCAAAACAATCTTGAAAAAGAAAAACAAAGCTGGAGGACTCACACTTCCCTATTTCAAAATTTACTATCAAACTACAATAATCAAAACAGTGTGATACTAGCATAAGGATAGACATCTAGATCAATGGAATAAATGTAAGCCCAAAAATAAACTCATCCAACCCATGCTCAATCGACTTTCGACAAAGGTGCCAAAAACATTCAATGGGAAACAAATACACTCTTCAAATGGTGCTGGGGCAACTGAATATCTACATGCAAAAAAATAAAGTTGGATCCCTATCTCAAATGATGTACAAAATTTAACTAAAAATGGGTCAAATACCTGAATGTAAGACCTATAAACTGTAAGATTCTTAGAAGAAAACATATGAATACATCTTCATGACCTTGGATTTGGCAATAGCTTCTTAGATATAACAACAAAAGCATAAGCAACCAAAGAAAAAATAGACAAATTGGATTTTACCAAATTTAAAATTTCTGTGCATTGAGGACACGATGAAGAAAGTAAAAATGCAACCCACTGAATGGGAGAAAATATTTGTAAATCATTTGCCTGACAAGGGTCTAGTATTAGGAATATATAAGGAAGTCTTAGAAGTTAACAAAAAGACCAAAAAAAATTAAAAATGGGCAATGGACTCCTGGCTTTGAAGTTAATAATACTCTTTGGCAATAACACAAGTAGTTTTTAAGGTAGAAAAAAACAACAGAAAGAAGCTTCAAAGGAAATACCCTGATTATTCAGCTTAAGAATTTCACTCCCTTCCTCTTCCTACCAGTTGTAAGTGTCCTGGCCACCCCACTATCTCTGACCATGATCCTCTAACTAATCATTCTTTAGTGTCAACAACTTTGGCATTTCTCAATTAAGCATTTCCCATACAAGAAAAGCAAGTTTTTTCCTCTCAGAATCACCGTCATTAATATCACCACGCAACAGAAAATTGTCTAGTACTCTTTCCTTTGAAAGAGTTTTGACACTAACATACAACAAGAATATTCTGGAAGTCACAGCACTAACTCTCTGCTGTGAATCATAAAACTCTGTGAATTATTTGGTGAAAGTGAGAATATAATCACAGGAGATAGACAACAAATTTTCATTTCTATACAGTCAAAAAATGGGCAAAGTATTTTTGACATTTCTCCAAAGAAGATATACAAAAGCCAACAAGCACATGAAAAGATGACCAACACAAATAATCAGGGAAACACAAATCAAAATCACAGTGAGATACCACTTTATACTCACTAGGATGGCTATAAAAAAAAAAAAAAGAAAGAAAGAAAATAACAAGACTTGACTAGGATGCAGAGAAACTAGAATCCTCGTATGCTGCTACCGGGAATGTAAAATGGTGCAGCCACTGTGGAAAGGTTTGGTGGTTCCTCAAAAACTTGCATACTATTACCAACTGACACAGCAATTCCCCTTTTAGGAATATGCCCCCAAAAAAACTGATGGTAGGTATTTCAATAGATATTTGTACATTGATGCTATAGCAGCACTATTCACAATAGACAAAAAGTAGAAACAAGCCAAATGTCCATTCATGGATGAATGAATAAACAAAATTTGGTATATCCATACAATGGAATACCATTCAACCAACAAAATTAATGAAGTACTGATGTATGCCACGATGTTGGATGAATCTTGAAAACATTACACTAATTGAAAGAAGCTAGACACCACAGGTCACAAATTGTATGATTCCATTTATATGAAACATCCAGAATAGGTAAATCTATAGAAAACAAAGCCAACTTGTTGTTGCCAGGGCCTGTGGGGTATAGGGAATGGCGAATGACTGTTTAACATGTATAGTGTATCCTTTTGGAAGGATGAGATGGTTTTGAAACTAAATGAAGGTGATGGCTGCTCAACATTGCAAATGTTGATGCCACTGAATTGTGTACTGTAAGATGGTTAATTTTACATTATATGAATTCACCTCAGTGTAAAAAAAAAAGTAATTGGATGTGATGAGCACTTGAAAATAGCAGGTACACAACAAATGTCATTTCCCTGCTCCTTAGACATTTTTAACTAACATAGTAGTAAAATTTATACATGATAGTTACTACATTGCCCAGTGACACAAGGATTTATTTCTGTTTGTCTATAGTCTAGTAAAGCCAGAGAAATAAAAAAAAGACATGTAATGTAAAAAAATATTTTACTGACAACAATAATTTTGTTAGTGTTCGATCTAAAGTTTAATAGCAAAGAAACACAAATCGATGTAGAGGTAACAGGTGAGAGTAAAAATAATGCGCTTTATTCAACATTAGGAAATCCATTAATTTATAAGTCAAATGTAAAAACATACAATGATCTTCATGGTACTCTCAAGTGAAAATCACATGGAAGGTGGAATGATAAAGCGGTTGAGCACACGTGCTCTGCTTTTGGCTTCAAATCTTGACTCAGTCACTTTAGGACATTCTCAAGCAAATTATTCAACCTCTCAAGTTTGTAAAATGGGAATAATAATAGCACATACCTCATATGCTTATTATGAGGATTAAATGATATAATACATGCAAACAAAGTGTCTTATACATAATAATAGTTATTGTTCACATTGAAATAAAAAGCAAAATAAGGATGCCTATTGGTACCATCATAATTTGACATTATTCTGGAAATTCTAGATATGAAACAGAAAAGAACATAATTATAAGAAATGAACTAACCACATAACTGTTACTTGAAGAGGCTACTATAATATACCTAAAATTCCCAAAATAATCTGTAGAGTTATTCAGACAGAAAATCAATTCACCAAAACCAAATTCAGAAATTTAGAAAATGAGAAAAGGAACAAAATCATGAAGGTAACAAAAATTATAAACTACCAAAACAGTGCCTTAGGAAATGTCAGGAAAACAAACAAAAAAAAAATGACTGAGACATAAAAATTGACTTGAATCAGAAAATTTGGATTTTGGACTAAAAAAAATCAAAAAGAAAAATTTTAAGTAGCACAATTAGTATTTTGCTTAACATGTATTAATTCTACCTTGTTTCCCTGAGTTATAAACTGTAACTAGTAGTTAATTTCTACATTCTCCACAGAGTCTGCCAAAGTGTTAAACAAATTTTTTTAACTCTGTACACAATTGAAAATTTATAAATCTGTAAGCAATCCAACTTCGCAATCCTGGATACACTTTTTTAATGTGTTTCATAGAGCAGTTTCCACCTATGGCATGTAACAGAATCCAAAATGTCCAAGCTGGAAGGACCTTGAAGGATCAGTAAAACCCAAAGGACACCCAAATTTCACAGACACTGAAACCAAAGCTTTGAGGCTTAAAGGGTGCTGTTTAGTATTCAAAACAAACAGACCACATGGTCTTTCCCCTACACTGCTTGAAGCAGATGGACAGCAACAGAAGCCGCAGTGTTCCTGTGGCCTGTTAGGCAGGCCCAGTATTTTCTCAATCATCATTAAAAGGAGGAGTAGAGAGAGCAGCTGCCCTCTACTCTTCATCATGCAATCCAGGTTCTCCCCAAATGACACTGGCCCAAATAGCATAGGCCAAAAGAGTGTTTCTAAAATATACCCTTTTATGATTTCATCAGCACTTAGTCAAGCTGCACTGCCTTTAGATAACTTACTGTAAAGTTCAAGGTTTAGAAAGAAGGAAAGAAAAGGCATTGTATGGCCCTAAACAATATTTGTCCACACAGGTAACTTTCTTGAGAAACTGTCCTGATCTGCATTAACTTTCTCTTGCTTCCTGCAGGCAAAACCCTGATGGCACTGGCCTGTGGAATCCTCCTTACAGGCAGAAGAATGTATCAGGGCTGCTTGACATCCGTTCTTACCCCTGTGACTCTTTAAATTAAACATTTATATGATTGTTCTGGGTGACTGGACCCTGTATTCCATAGACCTGTTGGCTCTAAAAATGTGATTTGATAAAGAAAAAAAATGGAATTTGAACAGCTGCCATATAAATTTAAACATCAAAATTGCTACAGGCACTATCTATAACTAAATGTGTATAGCATCTTTTATGCAAAGTCCTAACAGAACATAGTCCATTACTTAAACCTGTTCAAAAACTATAGTAGTTCCAGAAACATAACATTATTGGGTTTCAAGTAAATTCTACTTTTTATAATATCACTTCTCTGATAGCTACCCTATAGAAGAAAACTACAGTGCTTTTAGTAAAAAAAAAAAAAAAAAAATGAGGAATTCATGAAAAGCTTGCTTAAATCAAGTCATCAAAAATAGATGCAATGCAATCAGAAAAAAATGTTTCCAGAATATGATAATGCCTATGGTTGGGCAATGCACTATTCTTTATTCCTTGACATTCATACTAGAAAAGACAACAAAAAATCCAGACTTTTCGTTTCAGAAGGCTATGGAGAAATCTAAGTTAATATGCCTGATTCTAGGTTATAGCATCTGATATTTCAAGTATGACATCCCTTTGAATTATGTACCAACTGTTGAGTGAGTTATGACAAGCTATGCAAGCAGCACTGTTGCCACAGCACTCCAGGGCTAGGAATCCAAGAGAAATATAAGTCAAGATTCTTTCCCTGAAGAAGTTTCAGTTAGTTAGAGAGATGAAAACAACAGACGAAGAATAATGTTTTTCAAAATGCAAAGCAGTAAATTTAATCAAGCATAATTATTATGTACAGGCTCCAAGTTCAATAGGAATCTAATTTATTTAGAGAGATGAGGATAAGAGTATAAATATCAGAGGATGTACCAGTTTTAGTTACACTAGTGAAAAATAAATGTGAAGAAGAGCTGGGTTCTGGGTCAAGGGATGGAGGGAGGGGAAATGCAGTTCTTATCTCATGTTTTAATATAAGATGACATGAAAATAATTATGCATCTATATCAATGAATTTTGAAAGTTAATATGCCTCTTTTGTTTATTTAGTCAACAGTATTCCATAAAACTAAAATTCCCAAGACACAAACTGAGTGTATTAGTCTGTTTTCACACTCCTATAAAGAACTGCCCAAGACTGGGTAATTTGTAAAGTAAAGAGATTTAACTGACACAGTTCTGCATGGCTGGGGAGCCCTCAGGAAACTTACAATCATGGTGGAAGGTGAAGCAGGCACCTTCTTCACAAGGCAGCAGGGCAGTGTGAGCACACAGGAAAAAATACCATTGATAAAACCATCAGATCTCATAAGAATTCACTCACTATCATGAACAGAATGAGGAACCGCCCCCATAATCCAATCATTTCCCTTCCTCACCACATAGGGATTACTGGACACTCCCTCGACATGTGAGATTACGGTTAAAGATGAGACTTGGGTGGAGATACAGAGCCAAATCATATCACTGAGGAAGGATGGAAACATATTTGCTATGTCTTCTCAAATGACACTACATCTCAAAAACACTGTTTTTGCTGTTCCTGAATCAAACAATAAATTCCATTAATTTTCTTACATGTTTTCTATTGTAAAACCGTTCAAAATGTTAACTAATATTAACTAATATAAAATTCAACAAATTAATATGTGTTCACCTATCCTGATGTTCAACAAAAACATCTGTAGTACCACTTGCAGATCTTATTTCAAAAAGGCTCTAGTAGCTATTGTCCAAGATGATCCCCAATGATTCCCACCTCCTGAATGGTCACCTCCTCAATGAATAGGGCAGACCTGTGTAATCAATAAGATATAGCAGAAATTACAGTGTGTGGCTATTTCAAAAAAAATATGGCAAGTTCCGCATTGCCCTCTCTGGATCACTCATTCTAGGGGAAGCCATCTGCCATGTGATAACAACACTTAAGCAGTCCCATGGGGAGGTCTCCTGCCAACAACCAGCACCAAATTGCCAGTCTTATGACTGAGGCATCCTGGGAGCAGATCCCTCAGTCTCAATCAAGTCTTCAAACGACAGCAGCCCCAGACAAGATCTTGACACAAGCCCACAGGCTAGAATTACATAGATAAGTTGCTCCTAGATTCACTACCCATAAAAACTGTGTGAACTAAATGTTCATTGTTTTAAGCTGCTAAATTTTGGGGTGATTTGTTGCACAGAAATAAATAACTTTAAAAAGGCTCTAAAACTCTAGCTCTTCAGATATTTCATGGCATTTCCTAAAGAACCTAAAATCTCAAAATCTCATAATTTTTATTATTTAGGTATGTGTTTCTTCATTATTACCTATTATTGCATAATTTTTCTTAGCCTTTTTAAAAGATACATATTGCTTTACAAACCCATTAAAAAGTGAGGTAGTTTGGCTCAGCACAGTGGCTCACACCTGTAATCCCAGCACTTTGGGAGGCTGAGGCAGGCAGATCACTCTAGGTCAGGGGTTCCAGACCAGCCTGGCCAACATGGTGAAACCCCATCTCTACTAAAAATACAAAAATTAGCCGGGCATGATGGTGGATGCCTGTAATCCCAGCTACTCGGAAGGCTGAGGCACCAGAATTGCTTGAACCTGGGAGGTGGAGGTTGCAGTGAGCCAAGATTACGCCACTGCACTCCAGCCTCGACAACAGAGGGAGACTAAAAAAAAAAAAAAAAAAAAAGTGAGGTAGTTTGTGCTAGATCCTTAGGAAAAATGCAAAGTACATGTGTTAACAAAACATACTGTGTAATAGTTAATATGCCCTCCTTTGTCCCACATAATTATCCCAAATATCACGAAATGTATTTAATCACGTAACATTTCACTATATTGTCAGTAACTTTGAAAGACACATTCCATGTGTCATTGCTACAGTATTTGTGAAAACTATGGAATTACAGAAAATTAAAGAGCTTTCTGTAGGCAAGACTTGTCATAAGCCCACAACAAGAACATAGTTCTTTGTCCTATTATTAAACAAAGCCAATGAGAGAAACTCTGTAAGTCCCCTAACAAACAGAAATCTGTATTTAATAACATCTAACCTATGTTTATATTTTAGGGAATACATATACCTTCCCTAATTAAGATGAAGAGTGATTGATTCATATCACCTGTGAAAGAGCATTAATAATCAGCCATCAGTCATCTCTTCTCCATACTAAATTCCATCTCCTCCAAATTTTTCTCGTATGGATCTGGGAGAGGAAATGATAAATTTTAAGAAGAATCCATAAGAATATTCTCTTAAGCCTCCTAATCTCACAGAGGATTTAATAACATAAATAAATACTTCAATAATAAAATTCAGAGCCTCAAGAGTAAGCATATTTTTGTTTACATCATTCAACAAATATTTATTTATAGAGTGACTTCTAAGTCCAAGGAATTATATGAGGTGATGTGAAGGATGAAAAAGCAAAAGATAAATAATCTTGCCTCCAGATTATGGTCTTATAAAACAAATTCAGCATTCATTTGATCCATCCTACTAAAAATAGAAAGACAAAAGTCTATTATGATCACTAAGGTAGTCACAGCCTAGATGAACATATATATTGATGTGTAGATAAATAACAATAATACATGTCGTAAGAGAGGCACAAAGTAAACTTGTACCAAGGAGTTCGGGCAAGGAAGGGGAATATTATATTTAGAATAGAAGGCAGCACTTCCTTAAAATAGTTCTTAAGAAAGAAGTAGAAACTAAATGTGTCCAGTGGATACAAAGAGAACTGCAAGTGGAGAAACACTCCTTAGATTGATTTTGAGATCCTTTCTCTTCCCCTGGGGCAGGTGCACACGTGCCACTTACTGTACTCAAACAGGGTTAGGATGGAAAGCATCTTCACATTGGCTCCCTCACTCCCCATCCCCAGATGCACTTCCAAGGGGTAGTGATGAGCCCCATGGTTGTGTGCTTATTTGGTTCTCTAACATGGTTTTGCTCACAGCCAGATTCTAATTCAAAAAGGAAATCACTCCATTAATTTCATTTATATGAAGGTGTGGAAACTTTTACCACATTATTCACTTCTTTCATTTCTCTTCTCTCACTTTGCAAGAAAGACAATCTTTGGGCAGAAGCAATGAGATTATTCAAGTTATCAAGCTATTCAGTCAAGGTTTTCAGTTGGAAGCATCAGAAACAGACTCTTATCATGTAGGTGGTATGGAAAGGCTGTCTGGATTAACAGAATCAGTGAGGGAAGGACCAAAGAAGTCACAGAACCAAGAAGCAAGAGACATCACGACAGTCTTTAAGCAATAATAAACTTTCCAAGCTTCCTCATGACTCAATGACCTGGAATGAATCCTTATCATCCCTTTCATAAACAGACATGGTATGTTCAGGAAATTTTAAAATTCAGTGGATTGCTGGTGTGGTAAATTTTGTATTAACAGCCTCAATTTTTCACCTCTCACTCTGTCCACACCTTTTGCCATGTGACTTTGCAGATTTTTTCCATCAAGAGGCAAAGTTTATTTTTCTGCCTCCTGACTCTGGATGTATCCATGAGTCTCTGGATTTATCCATTTTATTGCTTTAGCCAGTAAAATGGGCCAAAAGTAACGATGCGCCAATTCCTACCCTAGGACTCAAGAGCTTGCAGGTTGCTCTTTTGAACTTCTTCTGTTACTATGAGAAGTGCATGCCTAGTCAATCCACTAGTTCCAGGGGGATAAAATTGCATGGAGGTCTCTGGTCTAAATGTGCCACATGGAACAGAGCTGACCAAGCTAAAGTCTCCAGCCAGAATAGAACCCAGCCTAGATTAGCTGACTCCAGCCAATCCACAAAGGTGAGAGCTATAGTAATATTGTTTGGTACTAAGCCCTTAGTTTTGAGAGTTTGTTACATAGCATTAACTGACTGATACAACTGGTGAATAGATTAGAAGGAAAAAGAAAAAAATAATGCTAGTAAGGTCAAATTATGAAGAACCCTCTATGCTATCTACGGTTTGGAATTCGACTATATCCTGCAGTCAGGAGGTATCCAGCCAAATTTTTTTTTTTTTAGATGAAGTCTCACACTGTCGCCCAGGCTGGTGTGCAGTGGCATGATCTCAGCTCACTGCAACCTCTACCTCCCAGATTCAAGCGATTCTCCTGCCTCAGCCTCCCAAGTAGCTGGGACTACAGGTGTGTACCATCATGCCCGGCTAATTTTTGTATTTTTAGTAGAGATGGGGTTTCACTATGTTGGCCAGGCTGGTCTTGAACTCCTGACCTCATGATCCACCCGCTCAGCCTCCCAAAGTGCTGGGATTACAGGTGTGAACCACCATGCCCGGCCCCAGCCAAATTTTAAAATAAATTAATACTAGTGTCTGGTGAATAAACTTTAGTGGAGGTAAAAACTGAAAGTTGGTCGTGAAGACACTGTAAGGATCCAAGTGAAAGCTGGTAAGAGCCTAACTTAAGGCACAGACAGTGGAAATAACAATATCTACTTATAAACACCCCTTATTCTCATTCTTCATCTTTTAAGGTATTCTTACAGATCAAAAGAAAAGATTAATAAAAATAACCCTAACGTTTTTTAAATATAGGGAGCCCTGTCTTGAGTCTAAATGGGATTCAAACATGTTTGGTGCATGTCTGACAATGTCTGACAGGACAGACTTTTCAAAATCTCATTTGCATGAGTAATGGAGAGTTACTTGGGAAAACATCCCAATGAATGAAGAAGTTAAGCTTGATGAGCAGAGCCCCATACGAAAACCTTGGTCTTCTGGGAAAGGGTGCGATTCCATCTCTCTGATCTGTCTCCATTTCCACCCCAATGACATTCACATCCGATTCATAGTATTAATGTGCTGGGCAGGGGGTGGGGAACCAGAAAATGAGAACGTGGGTAGTATAAGTGAAATAAGAAATAATTGATTAACTTAAAACTGTCCCACTAAGACATGAAGAGGAGTCCTTCTCCCCCAATCTAATCTCCCTGTCCCAAGCAGGGCTGACTTACCCAGTAGACTCGGTAGGCACAGTGCCTAGGGCCCGTGATATTTTAAGGACCCACAAAAATGTTTTATTTTTAAATTATTTTAAAATCAAAAGAAAACAGCATGGTTTATAAAAGTAAAAAATTAGATACAATAAATGTCCAATAATAGAGAATGAGTTAAAGAAATAAAAATAAAAAATCAGAAGAAAAATAGATATAGTAATAATGAACATATAATAATAAAATCAGCCTGGATAATATTTACTTTTATACCACCATAGTCATAAAATTTTTTTTCAGTATTTTTATGGTAAGAAGTGCCCCCAAAGGCAAAAGTGCTTGAGGCCCACCAAAGTCAAAATGCATCCCTGGTCCCAGCCCACAGTGTAACTTTGGAACCCTGAGAGCCCTGAATTGCTGTGGACCTTACCAGGACAGGGGTTGGGTAACTGTCTTTCCCCCACCTATCCCCTCAAAGGATATGTGTAATAAATTACAAAAAGGGGGTAAATTTCACAGATTGAGCAAACAAGTTTTGAGGGTATCTTTCCTTACTTCCCATCCCTTTCTCTCCTAAGGGAGTTAATGGGCAGTTTGACAAAAGAGCCACCCTCTGAGAGAAGCAAGAAATCTCCTCGGTGGCCTAACCAGGCACTCTACCTGCATCGCTCCAGGAAACTGCTATGACACTGGAAAATTAAGAATATTGAAACTATACTTTACATCCATGGCTTTCATCTTTTTTTTTTTTTTTTGAGACAGGGCCTCACTATGTTGCTCAGGCTGGTCTCAAATTTCTGGGCTCAGGTGATCCTCGCACTTCAGCCACCCAGAGTGCCGGGATTACAGTGTAAGCCACTGAGCCTGGCCACTTTCAACTTTTTTAAATGGTAGGACCTATCTGTCAAACAAACTCATACTTGGAGGCCCAGTGTATAAAGCAGATCGATGGGGAATGTTGCAGTCAGGTGAAGGCTGATGGAGGGTGCTGGAAGGACCACAGCCATGAAGGCCAATGGAGGGTGCTGGAAGGACCACAGCCCACCCACTCATTCCTGCCCTCACCCCTCCACAGGACCCAAGGACTCTCTGAAACACTAGAAATCACTGCTTTTGCAAGTTGCAGTATAATATAGATGGATGATCTAAAATCAAATTTACACTTAGAATCATTTCATGTGTTAAGTTGTTTAGTGATCCTATATTCATTTAGCTCCCATAGGGTAAACTCTGTATTTTGGAGGTAGAAGAGGGGAAAGAAGTAATGCTAAATCAAGGCTCTGGTGTGTGCATGAGAGGACAAGCTTGATTTAGCTGCTTTCAGGTCACTCTCAGTTCCTGGTGCAGCCTTGGAGTCTGAGTATCTCATCACAAAGAGTGTGATTCTGGTCTTAAGGAGAGGTACAGTCCCTAAATATTAAGCAGACAGTTCATCACAAGCTCAGCTTGGCCCTGCTTAACTTGCTTGTGTTCTTCTCACATAGCCCTTTTTCTTCAAGATGCTCAAGGTTAATTTTGCCAGTTCATCATTTTTTTCCTTCAACTTTTATTTTAAGTTCATGGGTACATGTGCAGGACGTGCAGGTTTGTTATACAGGTAAACGTGCCACGGTGGTTCGTTGCACAGATCATCTCATCACCTAGGTATTAAGCCCAGCATCCATTAGCTGTTCTTCCTGGTGCTCTCCCTCCTGCCATACCCACTGACTGGCTCCAGTGTGTGTTGTTCTCCCTCAATGTGTCCATGTGTTCTCATCATTCAGCTCCCACTTATAAGTGACAACATGTGGTGTTTGGTTTTCTGTTCCTGCATTAGTTTGCTGAGGATAAAGGCTTTCAACTCCATCCATGTCCCTGCAAAGGAGATGATCTCATTCTTTTTATGGCTGCATAGTATTCCATGGTATATATATACCACATTTCCTTTATTCATTCTATCATTGGTGGGCATTTAGGTTGATTCCATGTCTTTGCTATTGTGAATAGTGCTGCAATGAACATTTGCATGCATGTATCTTTATGGTAGAATGATTTATATTCTTTTGGGTATATACCCCGTAATGGGATTGCTGGGTCAAATGGTATTTCTGCCTCAAGCTATTTGAGGAATTGCCACACTGTCTTCCACAATGGTTGAACTAATTTATACTCCCACCAACAGTGTAAAAGTATTGCTTTTTCTCCACAACCTCTCCAGCAACTGTTGTTTTTTGACTTTTTAATAATAGCCATTCTAACTGGCATGAGATGATATCTCATTGTGGTTCTGATTTTCATTTCTCTAATAATCAGTAAGGTTGAGCTCTTTTCCATAAGTTTGCTGGCCACAAGTATGTCTTCTTTTGAGAAATGTCTGCTCATGTCCTTTACCCACTTTTTAATGGGGTTGTTTGTTTTTTTCTTGTAGATTTAAGTTCCTGATAAGCTCTGGATATTGGACTTTTGTCAGATGGATAGATTGCAAAAATTTTCCCCAATTTTGTAGGTTGTCTGTTCACTCTGATTATAGTTTCTTTTGCTGTGGAATAGCTGTTTAGTTTAATTAGATCCCATTTGTCAATGTTTGCTTTTGTTGCAATTGCTTTTGGCATTTTCATCTTGAAATCTTTGCCCATACCTCTATCCTGATGATACTGCCTAGATTTTCTTCTAGGGTCTTTGTAGTTTGGGGTTTTACATTTAAGTCTTTAATCCATCTTGAGTTAATTTTTGTATATGGTGTGAGGAAAGGGTCCAGTTTCAATTTTCTACATATGGATAACCACTTCTCCTGGTGCCATTTATTAAATAGGGATTCTTTTCTCCATTGCTTCTTGTTGTCAGCTTTGTCAAAGATCTGATGGTTGTAGGTGCGACGTCTCATTTCTGAGCTCTCTATTCTGTTCTATTCATCTATGTGTCTGTTCTTGTACCAGTACCATGCTGTTGTGGTTACTGTAGCCTTTAGTATAGTTTGAAATTGGGCAGTGTGATGCCTCCAGCCTTATTCTTTTCACTTAGGATTGCCTTGGCTACATGGGCTCTTTTTTTGTTCCACATGAGCTTTAAAATAGCTTTTTCTAATTCTGTGAAGAATGTCAATGGTAGTTTAATGGGAATAGCATTAAATCTATAAATTACTTTGGGCAGTATGGCCATTTTCACAATATTGATTCTTCCTATCCATGAGCAAGAAATGTTTCTCCATTTGTTTGGGTCATCTCTGATTTCTTTGAGCAGTGGTTTATAGTTCTCCTTGAAGAGGTCCTTCACTTCCCTTATTAGCTATAGTCCTAGGTATTTATTCTTTCTGTAGCAATTGTGAATGGGAGTTCATTCATTATTTGGCTCTCTGCTTGCCTGTTGTTGGTGTACAAGAATGCTAGCAACTTTTGCACACTGATTTTGTGTCCTGAGAATTTGCTGAAGTTGCTTATCAATGTAAGAAGCTTTTGGTCTGAGACAACAGGGTTTTTTAAAGTAAGTGCTGATTTGGGAACATGACCTCCTCATCACATGAACCTCATACTAACTTTCATCATAGCAGTGTTTGATTTTTCAAAGACAGCCAACTGTGACACAACACCAATATTTTCTCAAAATCTTTGTAACTGGCATAACTAATAAGGTAAAAAAGTTTGAATTTGATAGTATGAGTAGGATAATTGGGGATGAACACTTCAAATTAACTCACAAATCTTGATAACTTATCATAATAAATAATGTTTAAAAAAATGTAACTGTGCAATACAATGATTGATTACATTTTTGTAAGGCAAAAGACCCAAATTTTAGAGTGAAAGCACAGATATATTCTCAAAAACATCATTTGAGTTTCCACAGTCATTTAATTTTGTATACATTTCAAAAATGAAGGTGAAATAAAGACTTTTTCAGTATATCTAGAAAAACCCATAATCTCAATCCAAAAGCTCCTTCAGCTGACAACTTCAGCAAAGTTTCAGGATACACAATCAACGCACAAAATTCACCAGGAATGTACAAAAATCACCAACAACAGTCATGCCAAGAAATAAGCCAGGAATGCAATCCCATTCACCGTTACCACAAAAAAAATAAAATGCCTAGGAATACAGGAATACAGCTAACCAGGGAGGTGAAAGAGCTCTACAATGAGAATTACAAAACATTGCTCAAAGAAATCAGAGATGACAAAAACAAACGGAAAAACATTCCATGCTCATGGATAAAAAAAAAATCAATATCATTAAAATGGCCATACTGCCCAAAACAATTTGCAGATTCAATGGTATGACTATCAAACTATTAATGACATTCTTCACAGAACTAGGGAAAAACTATTTTAAAATCCACACGGAACCAAAAAAGAGCCCAAATAGCCAAGGCAATCCTAAGCAAGTTGCTACCCAACTTCAAACTATACTACAGGGCTACAGTAAACAAAACTGCATAGTACTGATACAAAAACAGGCACATAGACTAATGAAACAGAATAGAGAGCCCAGAAATATGGCCACACACCTACAACCATCTGATCTTCAACAAAGCTAACAACAAGAAGCGATGGGGAAAGGACTCCCTATTCAATAAATGGTGCTGGGAGAACTGGCTAGCCATATGGAGAAGACTGAAGCTGGACCCCTTCCTTTCACCATATACAAAAATCAATTCAAGACAGAGTAAAGACTTAAATGTAAAATCCAAAACTATAAAAACCCTAGAAGACCACGATCAAGTTGGCTTCAGTCCCAGGATGCAAGGCTGGTTCAACATACGCAAATCAATAAACGTAATTCATCATATAAACAGATCTAAAGACAAAAACCATGTGATTATCTCAATAGACGCAGAAAAGGCCTTAAATAAAAGTCAACATATCTTCATGTTTAAAACTCTCAATAAACAAAGTATTGAAGGAACATATCTCAAAATAATAAAAGCCATTTATGATAAACCCACAGCCAATATCATACTGAATGGGCAAAGCTGGGAGCATTTCCTTTGAAAACTGGCACAAGACAAGGATGCCCTCTCTCACCACTCCTATTTAACATAGTATTGGAAGTTCTGGCCAGGGCAATCAGGCAAAAGAACAAAATAAAGCATATTTAAATAGGAAGGGAGGATGTCAAATTGTCTTTGTTTGCAGATGACATGATCCTATATCTAGAAAACCCCATCTTCTAAGCCCAAAAGCTTCTTAAGCCGATAAGCAACTTCAGCAAAATCAGTGCGCAAAAATTGCTAGCATTCCTGTACACCAACAACACACAAGTGGAGAGCCAAATCATGAATGAACTCCCATTCACAATTGCTACAAAGAGAATAAAATACCTAGGAATACAGCTAACAAGGGAAGTGAAGGGCCTCTTCAAGGAGAACTACAAACCACTGCTTAAGGAAACCAGAGAGGACACAAGCAAATGGAAAAATATTCCATGCTCATAAGAAGAATCAATATCGTGAAAATGGTCATACTGCCCAAAGTAATTTATAGATTTAATGCTATTCCCATTAAACTACCATTGAAATTCTTCACAGAATTAGAAAAAAACTATTTTAAAGTTCATATGGAACCAAAAAAGAGCCCATATAGCCAAGACAATTCTAAGAGAAAAGAACAAAGCTGGAGGCATCTTGCTACCAGACTTCAAACTATACTATAAGGCTGCAATAACCAAAACAGCATGGTACTGGTACAAAAACAGACACATAGACCAATGGAACAGAATAGAGAACTCAGAATTAAGATAGTACAGCTACAAGCATCTAATCTTCAACAAACCTTACAAAAACAAGCAATGAGAAAAGGATTCCCTATTCAATAAATGGTGCTAGGAGAACTGGCTATCCATTTGCAGAAAATTGAAACTGGACCCCTTCCTCAAACCTTGGATGGATTAAAGATTTAAATGTAAAATCCCAAACTATAAAGATCCTAGAAGAGAATCTAGGCAATACCATTCAGGACATAGGCATGGGCAAAGATTGTATGGCAAAGACATGAAAAGCAATTGCAACAAAAGCAAAAATTGACAAACGGGATCTAATTAAACTAAAGAGCTTATGCACAGCAAAAGAAACTGTCATCAGAGTGAACAGGCAACCTACAGAGTGGGAGAAAATTTCTGCAATCTACCTATCCAACAAAGGTTTAATATCCAGAATCTACAAAGGAACTCAAACAAATTTACAAGAAAAAAACAAACAACCCTATTAAAAAGTGGGAAAAGGACATGAACAGACATTTCTTAAAAGAAGACATTCATGTAGCCAGCAAACATATGAAAAAGGCTCAACATCACTGATCATTAGAGAAATGCAAATCAAAACCACAATAAGATACCATCTCATGCCAGTCAGAACGGCCAGTATTAAAAAGTCAAGAAACAACAGATTCTGGCACAGCTGTGGAGAAATGGGAACGTTTTACACCATTGGTGGGAGTGTAAATTAGTTCAACCATTGAACAGTGTGGCAATTCCTCAAAGATCTAGAACCAGAAATACCATTTGACCCAGCAATCCCACTATGAGGTATATACCCAAAGCAATATAAATCATTCTATTACAAAGGTACATGCACACAAATGTTCACTGCAGCACTGTCCACAATAGCAAAGACATGGAATCAATCTAAATGCTCATCAGTGATGGACTGGATAAAGAAAATGTGGTACATATACACCATGGAATACTACGCAGCCAGGCTGGAAGCCATTATCCTCAGCAAACTAACGCAGTAATAGAAAACCAAATATACCACATATTCTCAGTTGTAAGTGGAAGCTGAACAATAAGAACACATGGACACAGAGAGGGGAACAACACACACTGGGGCCTGTCCAGGGGTGAGGTGTGGGGGAGAGCATTAGGAAAAATAACTAATGCATGATGGGCTTAATACCTAAGTGATGGGTTGACAGGTGCAGCAAACCACTGTGGCACACGTTTACCTACATAACAAACCTGCACATCCTGCACACGTATCCCAGAACTAAAAATTAAAATTAAAAAAAAAACCCTGGAAGACAACCTAGGCAATACCATCCTAGACATAGGAACGGCCAAAGATTTCATGATGACAATGCCAAAAGTAATTGCAGCCAAAACAAAAATTGACAAATAAGATCTAATTAAACCTAAGAGCTTCTACACAGCAAAGGAAATTATAAACAGAGTGAACAGACAACCTACCGAATGAGAGAAAATTTTTGCAAACTATGCATCTGGCAAAGGTCTAATATGTAGCATCTATAAGGAACTTAAACAAATTTCCAAGAAAAAGCAAACGGCTCTATTAAAAAGTGGGCAAATGACATGAACAGACACTTCTCAAAAGAAGACACAGATGCAGCCAATGAGCTTATGAAAAAAAATTTACTAACCATTAGAGAAACGCAAATCAAAACCACAACGAAGGCCAAGCGCGGTGGGTCACATCCGTAATCCCAACACTTTGGGAGGCCAAGGTGGGCGGATCACCTGAGGTCAGGAGTTCGAGACCAGCCTGACCCACATGGAGAAACCCTGTATCTACTAAAAATACAAAAATTAGCTGGACATGGTAGCATGTGCCTGTAATCCCAGTTGTTCGGGAGGCTGGGCAGGAGAATCGCTTGAACCTGGGAGGTTGCAGTGAGCCAAGATTGTGCCATTGCACTCCAGCCTGGGCAACAAGAGTGAAACTCCATCTCAAAATTAAAATAAAATAAAATAAAATAAAATAAAACGACAACGAGATACCATCTCATATCAGTCAGAATGGCTATTATTAAAAAAGTCGAAAAAATAACAGATGCTGGAGAGGTTGTGGAGAAAAAGGAACACATATACACTGTTGGCAGGAGTGTAAATTAGTTCAACTATTGTGGAAAGCAGTGTGGCAATTCCTCAAAGAGCTAAAAACAGAACTACCATTCAACCCAGCAATCCCATTTAGGTTGTTACATACCCAGAGGAATATAAATCATTCTACCATGAAGATACATGCACACAAATGTCCATTACAGCACTATTAACAATAGCAAATACATGGAATCAACCTAAATGTCCATCAATGGTAGAGTGAATAAAGAAAATGTGGTACGTATATACCATGAAATACTATGCAGCCATAAAAAAAAATAATAAGATCATGTCTTTTGTGGGAGCATGGATGGAGCTGGAGGCCATTATCCTTAGCAAACGAATACAGGAACAGAAAAACAAATACCACATATTCTCACTTGTAAGTTGGAGCTAAATTACACAAAGGAAGGAACTCATGGACACAAGGGAGCAACAGATACTGGGGCCTACTTGAGGGTGAAGGGTGGGAGGAGGGAGAGGAGCAGAAAAAAATAACTATTGAGTACTAGGCTTAGTACCTGGGTGATGAAATAATCTGTACAACAAATCCCCATGACGTGAGTTTATCTGTATAATGAACCTGCATACGCACCCCTGAACCTAAAATAAAAAAATTTTTAAAGGCTTTTTCAGACATTTTACTTACCCAGGACTTTTCTTTTCTTTCTTGTTTAAATGTATGGTGTGTAAATGTAGTTTTTGCTATGTGCATAGATTGTGTAGAAGTCAAGGCTTTTAAGGTATCTTTCACCCAAATAACCCAATGTACTCATTAAGTAATTTCTTATCCTCCATTTCCTGCCAACCCTCTCACCCTGCCAAGTCTCCACTGTCTGTCATTCCATACACTACATCCATGTGTGTACATTATTCAGCTCCCAGCTACCCAGGGCTTTTCTAAAAGTAGAAAACCAAAAGATCAGACAAACCCAAAATGCCCACACCAGGCCCCCACCACCTCACACACACTTTCAAGTAACAATGGCCAATGTCCTCATGGTCTCTCCTTTGTTCCAAAGAGAAAACCCTGATCCCATAAAATGACTAACAGACTCTTTCTTTCACAGTGTAATGTAAATAAGTGTTGGCAAAGGAAGGGCCCACAGACCAAATCTGGCTCACCACCTGTTTTTGTTTGGCCTATAAGCTAAGAACAGTTCTTTTATATTTTAATGGTGTTTTTTAAAAAGAAGAATATTTCATAAGTGAGAATAATTACATGAAATTTAAATTTCCATATCCATTAATAATGTTTTGAATTTCATCAATTAAAAATTTGTGGAAATTATTTTCTCTCTTGTTATATAAGTGCCTAAATACTATCCTTGATTTTGTCTCCTGGTTCAACAAAGCTTAAACTATTTACTATTTAGCTCTTTACAGAAAAAGTCTGGCCATCCTTGATGTAAATGACAAATAATAAAAAAGTACCTCTCTTTGGAACAAATGCATCTCTAAAATGAACCAAAGGAATGAATTTTTCATCCTGCAAGGTCAGACAAAAATGTTTTTAACGGTTGGTACATACAAAAAAAATCAAACTCTCTCCTTTATGTAATAGAGTTACATGGGCTATGCTGATTTTATCACTCTGTTTCATACCAGGTTGTTTGAAAAACAAGATAAATTGGCATCTTCCTCCAAAATTAATTTCATTTAGAATTTAGGCCTAAGAATTAAGCAACCACTCTGCTCTTCCTCTCTACTTTAACTTGATTTTTTATTAAAATACTATTTTACTACATTATCATCTTTGAAAGAAATCTACTTAATAATAGTGTATTAAATAATTTTCAATTCATAAAGCCAACAAATAAGCTTTTCATTTTTCTTTGTAGATTGTTCACACCATTCACATTAGGATATTCAGTCCCCCAGAGACACCAGGCCCTTTCTTGGCTCGGCGTCCTCGTTTATGCTTTTCTCCCACTCAGGAATTCACTTCCCAAACACTCTCCTGGGTAGTTCCCCACGCAGCACAGGAAGATAAGAAAGATTTTTTTGTTTTATTTGATGGAAATGGTCTTTTTTTTTTTTTTTTAAATAGAAAGCTTCCAAAACTTCCACACCTTTTGAAAACTATTTTTTATTAAAATGCCACTCCTTAAACACTCACTCAGAATTTATTGATCCCACAACACATTACTTGTATTTTTTTTTTTTTTTTTTTTTTTTTTTGAGACAGAGTTTCGCTCATGTTGCCCAGGCTGGAGTACAACTGCGCAATCGCGACTCACTGCAACCTCCGCCTCCCGGATTCAAGCGGTTCTCCTGCCTCAGCCTGCCGAGTAGCTGGGGCTACCGGTATGCGCCACTACGCCTGGCTAATTTTTTAGTATTTTTAATAGAGACGGGGTTTCGCCATGTTGGCCAGGCTGGTCTAGAACGCCTGACCTCAGGTGATCCACCCGCCTCGGCCTCCCAAAATGCCAGGATTACAGGCGTGAGCCACCACTCCTGGCCACATTACTTGTACTTCTATTTGGCATTTAGGTTGTTATACATTTAGGCTACTAGAATGTGCTTTTAGGATCAACCACCCCTAGTTCCTTGCAGATTTCAAGAAGGTACTTCTCGCCTGGTGTTCCCCATCCCTGGAATTCCAAGGAGCCAGCTGAAAATGCCAAAAAGGAGGAGCCATCCTTGATGTCTCTCCTTTCTCTCACCTTCTAAATCTAATTTAACTAAACCCTTAAATTTGCTGCCTGAAAGTCTCTGGAATCCCCACTGGAGCCTCTTAACCATTATAACCCAGACTTCTAACCTCCTTCCACCACAGCTATTCATTCTTCACACTGAAGTAAAGGCAATCCTCTCAAGTCAAATGCCCATCAATACACACACACACGCACACACACACACACACACACACACACGCACACACACACACCTGACTAGGTTAACTACCCATAGACTCTCACAGCACAAGGCAGCTTACAAAATTGTTTAGAGTTTGAAGCCTGTCTCTCTCACCAGATGATAAAACAGGGACTTTACAACAATATCTGGTACATAGTAGCTGTTCAAAGATGTTTTATGGGTGAGTTAACACAGAGCAACAATTCTTTGCATCCTCAAGGTTGCCAACTACTTTAAAGGAGTCTATCTTGGAAGCTCTATACTTATGTCTGTAGTTTTTGGGATGCCTTTTGGAATTGACTTCAGAGACCACTTGCCATTCACAAAAGAAAATTTGTCTTCCTTCTTCACTGCTACACCTGGATTTTTGATTCAAGATGGTTTCACTCCAATCAAAGTGTTCACACATTTAATTTGCAAGACATTGCTCTAAGTGACATTTGTTTGTTTCCAAAAAAATCCTAACCAGCTCCAAAGGCTAGATAACTAACAAGAGATTAGCAAAAGAAGGTACTGTGGAGATGAGAGCTATTATTGAACACTTACAGTGTGCCAGGCATTGATGAACACCTTACAATCATTATTTCACTTAGTCCTCACAACAAACCCATGTGGTAGTTGCTATTATTCCAACTTTACAAATTAAAAAAAAAAAAAAGCTGAAGTCAAGAGAGATGGTTAAAAGTCTAAAGATGTGTAGCCTTCAATTGTGGACTACAAAGAAGACTGATTTTGTAACAAAGACCCCTATTAATGTCCATGAATGAAATACTGGGTAGTGGTATCAAATAATTGTTCCTGAATGTCATCGTATTTCTTGGGAATTCACAGTCTTATTTCATTGTCCTCTGTTGGTCCCTGTGCACATTATTTGGGGTCCTTTCATGCTGCTGAGTCATGCTGAGTAAGCCTGGGAGGAGCTGTTAGGAAAATAAAAATCTAGAACAGGGAAGTCACATACCTTTATCATAGACATGGCAGAAAGTTCAAGAGAAAGAAAGGTACTTCAAACTAACACAAAGGAAGTTCTGGGAAAAAGGTTAAGACTGCTTGGCTGCTTGTACCCCATAAATTCAAGATGTCATGACTCATTAATAGCATGGTAGCAAAGTAGCAATACAGAAATTAAAACACGAAGTTTTATTCTCAAACTGCTGGAAATAAAATGCAGAAAGTTAAACTAAAAATAGAATAATATGAGAAACTATCCATTTTTTTCCTAGAATTTTATGGTTTTTTGTTTTTGCTCTTCTAGATCAGCTTCTCTATTTAGATAAATATATTTATCAATTTATGTTTTATCGTAAATATTTATCTTTAGAGTATGATAATTCAAGGGTGGTATTTGGCCATGATTCTTGCTTTTCCAGTCTTTGTGTCAAAATGTCTGGGCCTGCTACACTGGACAAGCAAGTAGTTTGACAGCTGGGGTAATGAGAGCTGTCAATGGCAGTAACTATAATGCACATGCGAAGAGCAGCCAAAATAACTCCCTCGCAGTATTTCCAAACCCATTCCCAGGGTACTAAAATCATGCACTTAGTATCAATTTAGAAATAAGGGAAGGAACAAATTGATAAACAGGAAAGTATAATCTTCAGATAAACATAAATAGATTAGGAAACCTAACATCATTCCTTGTGCATTAGAAAACCACAGTTTTCAAAGATTCAAATACCTGACTTGACCATATTCTGGGCGTGCTATTATGTAAAATAATTTGAATTTTGTCTGGATATCAACTATATATTTTCTCTTAAATTCATGAGATTAAATTAAAAAGGAGAAAAATTTATCCCTGAGCTGCTTACCCTCTGAGTGATAATTCTGTCAGTTCTTCTATTTTCTTAAGGCTACGTTTAATATATTTTCTATAAAGAAAGGATTTCTAAAAAGCATTGTATTAGTCCTTTCTCACATTGCTATAAAGAAATACCTGAGACTGGGTCATTTATAAGAAAAGAAGTTTAATTGGCTCACGGTTCTGCAGGCTGTACAGGAAGCATAGCGGCATCTGCTTCTGGGGAGGCTTCAGGAAGCTTCCAATCATGGCAGAAGGCAAAGGGGGAGTAGCCATGCCATATTCCAAAAGTAGGAGCAAGAGAGTGAGGGGGTGGGTGCTACATACTTTTAATTTTTTTTCATTATTTTTAAATTTTTTGTGGGTACATAAGTGTATATATTTATGGGGCAATGTGAAACAACCACATCACGGAAAATGGGGTATCCATCCCCTCAAGCACTTATCCTTTGAGTTACAAACTGCTCACTTTTAAATGACCAGATCTCACAATAACTCACTCGCTATCTCAAAGACAGTACCAAGCAGGGTGGTGCTAAATCATTCATGAGAAAACCATCCCCATGATCCAGTCCCCTCACAACAGGCCCCACCTTCAGTATTGGGGATTACATTTCAGTATGAGATTTGGGCATGAACAAACATACAAACTATATTAAGCATCTATAGAAACAATTTTCTTAGACAAGCTTTAACTATAAGAAGACACTGCTTTAAATAAACACTCTTCTAATTGGGGACAAATATATAAAAGGAAGTTTACTTTGGACATGACTCGATAGACAGTAAGAACCTCAAAATGTATTAAACAAGATGGTTATTTATTCTTGTGACCGACTATTATAATGCATGTAGTATGTTGCCAGTGTATAAATAAATAAAAAAGGTGTACCTTAAAAACAACAACAAATATGAATAAGTTGACAAGAGAATGTCTTGTAAATATTTTCTTATTATTTTATCAACAACTCTCTAAGAAATGTAACTACATTTTCTAAAATGAAAGCCCAGAAGCAAAACAAGTCATATCATAAGACCTCAGAAAGATTTAGGAATTGGAGGCACCTAACTCCAAAAATGATAGTGCAAGTGGACTGAAAACAGCCTCCCTAGATCCACCTCCACACAGTCCAGTAACATCTCTCCCCGACCATAGCAGAAGACAGCAAGTGTTAAACATGAAACATGCTAGCAGGAATTAATACTTTGATGCAAAGTAAGAAGCTAAAATTGAAAACATCCTCTCAGAAAAGGAGGGAACAAAAAAGAAAATAGGAGAGACATATAAAAATAAGACAATCAGTCCAGACCCCCAACATCCAAATAATAGAAGTTACAGAAAGTGAGAATTGAGAAAACAAAGGGGAAAATATTTTAAAAGGAAATTTCCCAGAAATGAAGGATGTTGGAATGAAAGGACCACTCAGGATCCATCGCAAATAAATGAAAGAGGAGCCACATCATTTCATGTCATATATATTTCCCATGTATCCTTTGTTGGTAGAGTTAGTAAATTAAGAAAGGGGAAGATATGGGATCCAATCAACAGATGAAGGCAAAGGCCGGAGCCACTGCTAAGTAGCAAGCCCAGAGGGCCATTAATCCTGATTATACCAGATCAAAGGGCTCCAAGAGGAATGTCTCAAAAAAAAGAATAGGAGAGATTACCTGATGTGTCTGAATATTTTAAGAAGACATTTAAATGTGTATAAAGAGTTTAGGGATAACTTAGTGATGTACACATAGAAAAATTAAGTTATTTCGTGAAAAAAATAAACCTTGCAATCATGAACTGTATAGGAAAAAGCAGCTACTTGACAAAGGAAATGTTACCTGTGGCATCTACCTAAATATAATATTGCAGACATCAAAAATTATAATTAGCTATGTTGGGAAGCTAGGAAAGTGCATGTGCCATGGGTAGGGGTGGGTGCTAGTCAAAGCAATAAATCATTATATTCCATAATAGGAATCAACAAATCTTCTCTTAATGGAGGCGGGGAAGTCAGAAACTAGTAACATTAAGATATGATTTAGAATATAAAGGCATTTATAAGATGAAGTAACTAAAAGGCTGGGAAGTTGTTGTCTTTAGGGAGTACAAATGAGAGGTGTAAAAAGGTTTGACGAGGAACTGCTTCAATAAGCCTAGTCATACTATATGATTTTTTAAAACTATGTTCATGTATTACTTTGATCAAAATAAAAGTTAAAATATAACAAAAATAAAGCACTAAAATAATAACAGCAACAACAAAAATTAAATCTATTTCTTCTTGCATCTTCCGTCTCTCTCTCTCTGCTAGATCATTCCTCTCCTCATATAAACATTCATTTAAAAGAAAATCCCTATTTAACCTCTTTCAGCTGTAGTCCAATTTCTTTCTATCACAGCCAGTCTTACTGTAAATTATTCTCTGATCGGGTGTTCACCATCGCTCCTCAACCTGTGCAATGGATTAAGGTGAACCATATAAAATTGCTGATCTGATCATTTTTTACCTATAAAAACAGCAATTTCATATGGTTCAATCTAATAGTTTACTGTCATTTCAACCACCTAACGCTGAGTCCATCACCTGAGTACTTGCTGTCCTGTTTAACCATGCCCTGCTCTCCAGCCTTACTGCCCTGCCTGAATTCAGACATATTTCATTTCCTTCTGGATTAAGGCTTCGGCTTCTCACTCTTTTGCCCACCAGTCCATGTTAGCACTGTCTCCAGAATGATCTGTTGAAGACTTTAGTTGTATCACATCACTGACCTGCTTCAAACCCTCTAATGGCAGCCCAGTGCCATCAGAATCAAACCTAAACTATTTTCCATGGCCACATGTTGACCACTGCCTGCCTCTCCAGCTTCATCTCCCTCTAGACTCTGCATCCCACCCTGGCTTCGCCCCATTTGTGCCCGCTATACTTTTTTTTATATTTAGAGTCAGGGTCTTGCTATGTTGCCAGGGCTGAAGTGCAGTGGCTACTCACAGGAGCAATCACAGCACACTGCAGCCTCAAACTCCTGGCCTCAAGCATCCGCCCGCCTCAAGCCTCCCAAGTAGCTGGGACTACAGGTGTGCACCACAGTGCCTGGCACCCTCTGTACTTGAGACACATTAAACAACTTAGGTGCAGAAATGTTCCTTTTATTTTCATACATTAAAATGTACATATGGGAGATTAAATATCTCTAATATGTGGCAGCTTGAAGGTACTTGACAATATTTATGAAAGGAAAATTCATTGTTTTCATTAATGACCCAAAAATGAATCATGGATGGAAAAAAAAAAAAAAAAAAAAAAAAAAAATATATATATATATATATATATATATATATATATATATAACATAAACAGTGCATATATTCAATTTCTAAGAGCCAAGTGAAAGTTAAAAAGCCTGACTATGGTTATTTAAATATTCAAATGGATAATGACAGGAATCTAAGAACAATGTATGAATTGTGTTGACAGAGAAGAATTAGAAAAAGAAAAGGAGCAGGGAAGGGAGGGGCAGAGAGGGGTATGGGAAAACAGCTTCACCTCAATTTTACAATGTAACAACTAAGTAAAGAAAATTCATAAACACTACAATTAATCTGTGTGCACGAAATTCTTCTCCATTTTCTAAAAAGTAATGAAATGAAGTCCTTATAGTTAGCCTTAAATCATATATGTACCAAGTATTAATACTTCTATATGTTTTCTGGTGAAGAACTGCATCATTAAGTTTTAAAAGCTGCCCAACCAGTTCTCAAACTAGCATCCCATCCAACAAATGTTTAATTAGGTTTGGAGTTTTGTTTAAACTGACAGCTGTGGTTCAAAAGCCCCCAAGGTCAGCGTTATAGTTTGCATTGTAAGTAACCAAATTGCCCAAAGGTATTCTGTGGTTCTACGGCTGTTATTTTTTATTCTGATTTGCAAAGGATCCAGTTAATAGCGCCATGCTAAGAATACGGATTATTCAAATGCAAAAATATATTTTTACAGTATCTCTGAGTCAATTTATAAGAAAAAAAAGCAAGCTGTTATTATTCACCTATCCAGTGTGCAGTCATCCAACGACCTGACCTCACAGATCTAGCAGAGACAAGAAGCAGGATGTAAGCAAAAAAGGCTTTAGAGGCAAAAGAGATGTTAGCAAAGGCCAGTGCAGAGGAAGCTCACACACTTTCCCATAGGAAAGCTTTGAGGCCCTCCCTTGGAGGCTATTTACTTTCACTTTACAAACAATGTAGCCAAGCTTATTTATCTAGTTTCTAAGCCTAGGGCAGAATAGAATAAGATATTAGGATGAGAGCTGTGAGAGAAGGGGTACTTACAGCAAACTGAAATACTGACTGCAAAACAGAGCCAACTGTCAGCCTAATGAGGAGGAGGAAACAAAAATTACAAAAAATGAAACAAAAGAATTCAAAACACAGCTGAATGCAGGGTTTGGGGGCAAATGCTTCACTCACCCAGTGAGATCTTGGGGCATCACTATATCACAGTAGAGCATAGAGGATCGACATCCAAAATGGTGCCCTTCGTCCTCAAGAAAAAGATCAACTTAGCGCCTCTGCCGGGGCACACCTGTGCCAGGTAATGGAAATGCAAGAAGGAACAAGCAACACCTGCTTTCACAAAGGGGAATGAGTATAGCAGATTTTAGAAAGTGTTTCTTCTGAAAGACTAAGCATGAAAGAAAGCTTACTTGTCCTTAAAATACTGAATCGCTAATTATCAAGAAAAGTCAGTATCTAAAGATGACTCATTTGTTAAGGATAGCAGTTACGATGTAATTAAAAATCTATTTGAAATATATATGGGGTTGTAGGACCTAAACTCCATAAGGGTTTCAAATAACTGACAATATATAACATCAAAGAATACAGGAGTAATAGGGTATCTACAGTTTGGTCTCTGCTTCACCACTAACTATACGTTGCCTTGGCAAATGAGTTACTTCCCTGAGACTCCATCTCCCCATCTGTCAAATGAAGAGGCTAAAGAGATAGTTGTGAAGTATCCACCAATGTTTCCCTCCAACTCACATACCCAATATTCTACCCACATAGACCACTGAGGGCCCATGGCCTCAGGTAAAAGGCACTACCGCAGAGCATAAAGTTACAGACAAGAGCCTCTTTCCGGCTTTCGGGCTTCAAAAATCCTGGGAACCAGGTGGAATACAAAGAATAAATGACAAGTGATTCGGGAGAAAACAAAATGAGTTTCAGTGCCATTTCCTTTGTCTGCAGTTAGAAATGAATTGAATTCCTGGCCCAGAGGAAGTTGGCAGGGACGTGAAGAAAACATAAATGTTGTGGGGTCCCTGGGCTAGGGGCTTATACCCAGCTCCCCAGGGCTAAGCTCAAAGGAAACAAAAAGAAGATGTGTTTGTGGGAAGGAAGAACAAAAAAGACCTGGGACTTCTTCTCATGGAGAATCCAGGAAGCAGTAAGATCCCAGAGAAGAAACAGCCCTACGGAGTGTCAAGGCAGGTGGAGCATTATATCATCTCACAAAAGTTTAGCAGGCCCCAGACTAGCCTGAGAACAGCAAAATGATTTCTGTGCACCCAAGAGTAGGGGGAGATTGGAACAGGGGCAATTTAGAAGGGACCTGTGTGGACTAACAATGTTGGGAAGACCTAAGTGGACCATCAGATAGAAGTATGGATGTCTCAACAGAGGTGTCCAGCATGGCATGTGATCTTAAGAAACTCTATATATCCTGGGGGGTGGGGAGGTGTGGATCTCCAAATTGTAGATAAATAAACATGATTCTTGCACATCTCTGTTTACAAACTGAGATTCAAACCCACTACATGCTGAGACAGACTCCACAGCTATAAAATCAAAAGGCCAAGCCACAGAATAACAAGAAATAATCTATTAATGACTTCATGATAATAAATGTGGGGAAACATGAATAAAAAGAATAACTATCTAGAAATACATGAGTCACAAAACTGAGCTGGGGGATTGTTGGAATTAACATCCTGAATAAATTAGTAATCATTAAAGAAACTGAGATAATTTTTTACAATCTCTTTACCCAAGACACAAGCCCAGACAACATTACAGATGAAAATTACCAAACTTTCAAGGAAAATATAATCCCTCTCTTATACGAACTGTTTCTGGAGAACAGAAAAAGAAATCAGACATCCAACATATGAGGATAGATAGTACAATCTTGATACCAAATGTGGATAAATGCAGTAGAAGAAAAAAAAAGAATACACAATCTCACCTATGAAGACAAATGCAAAAACTCTAATAGAAATCATCAGTGTATAGAAACATACTGTAACCTAGAACATTTTTCCCAGAATCCAAGGATAGTTCAGATTAACTAGTAGATCACAGTAACAGATTAAAGAGAAAAAGTACTCAACAAATTTCAACACTTATTCATGATAAACATTTTTGGCAAGCTGAGAAAGGAAGTGAACCTAATAATGAATATCTATCATAAAGCTATAGTGAACAACATGCTTAGTGGTAAAACTCTAGCAGCCTTTGGTTTAAAGTCAAGGATAAAACAAGAACTCCTATTATCACCACTTTCATTAAACACCAACTGTATTAAACAAGAAATTCCACAAGTTCAACATATTTAAACCAATATGGTAATAAACAATTTGAAAATGCAAATAGAAAATGCATCCCATGTACAACAGCAATAAAATTTATAAGATGGGGAGGGGTGTGAACGTGTGTGTGTGTGTGTTTGTAATATTATAGTTATAACGCTATGGTTAAACCTTGTAGTCTTCATCTTACTAGACTTGACAGTATTTGACACAGTTATTGCATCCTTCTTGAAATGTTTTTTCACTTGGTTTCCACCAAACACATTCTCCTGGTTTTTCTCTTCTACCAGGCTCCCCTCAGCTTCTTTCATTAATTCCACTTCTCTCTGCCTCTAACAGTGGCATGTCCTTGAGCCCTTAGGTCTCTTTTGCTTTCTAGCTACACTTATCCCCCGGGTCATCTCTTCCAGTTTCATGAATTCAAATACCATCTGATCACTGATGACTTCCCATCCCTCTAACCCTAACCTGCCACCTGAACCCTAGAATTATAACTGACTGCATATTTGATATCTCCACTTGGAAGTATATTAGGCACCTCAAACTTAACATGTCTAAAATCAACCTCACAATCGGGCTGCCCCCTTGATCTTCACCATCTCAGAAAATGGAAACTATTCTACCAGTTAGCTACACACACCATAAACCATAAAGTCATCCTTGACTTTTCTTCTCTTTCCTCTCCTGCAACACACATACAAACCATAAGCAACCTTCAAAGTAGATGCTGAATGTGACCATTTCTCACATCCTTCCCACTGTCACCATGATTGGCCCAAGCCACCATCATCTCTCACCTGGATTATTTTAACAGGTGCCTATCTTCCTTCCTTTACCATTTTCCACCTATAATCTATTGTCCACACAGTATCAGATAATCCCTTTAAAACAAGATCAGATCATGTCATGTCCCTGCTCAAAACCCTCCAGTGTCTTCCCACATCACTCAGAGTGAAATCCACATTTCTTACCATGGGCTACAAGACTCTACACATCAGTGATTCTCAGAAGGGACAGTACTAGTCCCTAGAGAACATTTAGAAATTTCTGGCCAGTGGGTGAGAGAGACAGCATTTTTAGTTGCTAGAATGAGAAAGTGCTATTGGCATTTAGTAGGCAAGAAGGAGCCAAGGATATAGTAGACATCCTGCAGTTCACAGGGCAGTCCCACAAAACAAAGAAATACATGTCCTGAAAGACTTTCATGTGGGTAAAAAAAGTTTCATAAATAGATGAGGCCAGAATCTTTAAACACAAAATATATCCCTCATTTAACCCATTCTGTATTTTCCAGAAATGCAACTACTGTGTAAATCGTAGCAACTATGCGAATAGTTTAGTCACCAAAACAACACACCTATTTCATTCTGCATTGGTAGCAGTTATATATAAATATATACAGAGAATATATGAAGTTCATTTTGTAAATTTAGAACCAATCATAATTAAATTAGCAGAGACAAGTAAAATTTGGGAATAAGGAATACTGCATTAGTGAGGTTTTTTAAATAAATGTTATTGCCAATCTATATAATGTTTTAATATTTTAGCAAAATACCTCTATATTGGGAAGGTTACATATTGAAATTATTAATTTTGAATGGCCTGTTGTTTTTGTTTTACCCTGAAATTGTCCACAGAGGTCTATTTCATGTCTTCTTGTATTACTTTCTTTTTTCCTATCCATCCTATAGTCTCATCATCTTTTGAAAGATATGTCTTCCAAGGTCTTTTTAAGCACCAGAAACTGAATATGTTCTGATGTGTTGAGATTTCAGGATGGGAGAGATGTTTGGTTTGGTTTGGTTTGGTTTGGTTTTCTGATACTTTGTCACTTTGTCCAATGTCACAACAGAGATTTATTTTGACATTACATTTATAAAGAGGCCTAGCTCATTTTCTCCATTTCAAAAGTCTATAACTGGTCTTGGCACACATTCCAACTTCACGTAATGTTATTTACCATTTTCTCATCCTGTACACATACGCCTGGTCTGCTACCATAAATCCTAATGTATTATAGTGCCAATTGCACTGTTATTTCATTTTCCAGTCCTTCATACACACTATGGTTCCTGATATTCCCACCCAAAGAGATTCACTATGGGTAGATAAAAGCAGCTAGCAACTTCATATGTCTTCCAGTGTAGTCGTTTATAATTGATTTAACCACATATTACTGTCATTGTTCCTGTATGTTACAAAAAGGGTGTTATATTAATTTTTACATTGCATGAATAGGTAAACGATAATTATTTATGAATTTTGCTCAGGATATTAAAAAGGGCAAAATATACCCAGCAAGAAAAGTGTGCTGGGTCTGATAGTACTGAGAACCACTGCCCCAGTTGATCTGGCTCTTGGCTACCTCTGTGGCATCATCTCCTACCATACTCCCCATTCAAAGATCCCCACCTTGTTGTTTCTCAAACATCACAGAACATTTCTACCTTGGAGCCTTGCACTATCTCCTCCCTCTGCCTGGAATGTTCTCCTTCATACATGAATTGGATGGCTTGTTCCCTTACTTCCTTCAGACTTCTGCTCAATGTGATGTTCTCCTATGGTCCTTTTCTGATCATCTTACTTAAATGTCTCTCGCTTCCCCATTATTCTATCACTCTGTCCTAAATTATTCTTCCTTTTGTTACTTATTGCCATCTAAGACATTACTGATTTGTTTGCTCTCTGCCTCCTCCCTCTAGATTGTAAGCAAGGATTTCATTTATTTACTGACATTTCCAAGCATCTGGTACAGCGCCAGATATAACAGGCACCCAATTACATTGCAAGAATGAATAATTGTTTTAGAGACCAATAAGTGTGTTGTTGGGAGTCTGGATTGAGCAGGTAGGACCAGGTCCTCCGTTTCTAATTGAGACACTGCTGACATGCTACTAAATGTTTGAGATATTGAACTTTCACTGAATATTTCATTTGAAGAAATTTTTCCACAGCTGAAAAGTTTTGGAAAGCTACTGGCCTTTCAAATTAGCAAAGAGTGAAAAGTACCATAATGCACAAAGCTGGTGAGGATGTGGGGAAACAGACTTGTACTCCCTACTAGTTGGAAAGTAGTTGGTTCAACCTTACTGGAATGTAATGTAGTAGTACGTACTAAGAACCTTTTTAAATGCAGCCTATTTAACATGTATTGTCTTATATTTAAGAACATTTTATTCTCACAGTATTTTAAGGTAAGTATTATTAGCCCTATTGAACAGATAAGAAAACTGAGGCACCAATAATTTAAGAAACAAATAAATCACAAATCAAGGATCCCAACCTAGGTCATCTAACTCTAAACCCAGGGCTTTCTCCACCCTTTTCCATTGTCTGCTAGCTCCCTTGTTATGTTACCTAATTCCTTAAAGCTAAAAACTGTGTCACATAACAAAATCTTTCCATACTTAGTGCCAAGCACAGGGCTAAATATTGCAGGTGCTCAAAAAACTTTGCTGGAAGAGTGAATAACACTTTGAGCCATAAGAGTCTCTACACAAGGTGTATCGCCATAGAGACCATGTCAGAAACTACCTCGTTATTTCTTCTACCCTTTTCCATAGTAATAGAATGTGAACCTTGGCATATGGCTGCCAAGGATAGTGATTTCATTTTTCATCCTCTTTTGTAGCTGGATGTTATCATGCAGCTAAATTCTGCCAGATTAAATATAAGCAGAAGTGGTGTGCAATCTCAGACACATGCATTTCTTGTGTAAAACTTTCCTGCTGGCCAGAATACAGAGGTGATAACTGATGCAGCTATGTTGGACCTTACGATGGCCCTGGGAATGCAGATGAGTCAGTGGAGCACTCAAATGGCAGGATTCTGGATCCCTGGCCCTATGGAACACCACATTGGTATTGCATTACCTTTTTATAAGACCTTTTTTTACAAGACAGAAATAAACTTTCATCCTGTCTAATCCACTATTAATATTACTTTGGGTTTTCTGATTATCTGGACCCATTAGCTACTCTGAACTAGTTCTATTAAGGCTGCCTCTTACTCCCTCTTTCATTGTAACTCGATACTTAGTTAAACCGATTTGGTTTTGTCCTAGCGACAGCTGATATGAATTATGCATTCCATTTAACGTTTTCAAAGATTCCATTGTAAATGGATATTTAATAAGCCTTTTCACTTAACCCTAAAGAGCAACAGAACAGTCATGCATAAAAAGCCATAATTCCGTAAACTGTTTAATAATCACTTTCCAGAGTAATAATTGATTGTCAAAGACTATACAACTAGGCAGGTCTCGACAGCATAATGAAATCAGAACAATGAAAAGTGTCTCAGCTGTCTCAATCTTTCCTTTCTTCATAACCCTATTTCCAATGATTAAGAGATGAAGAGCTTGAGACTAGTGATGTTCTTGAGGGGAAATTTGGCTGAAATGATGAGGTCTGGCTTTATTATAATCTGCTCCTGTATGCCTAATAAATGTGTAGTAAGCCAAGAAAATGACAGGAATTTTATATATTGTATTATCTGTGAGGTCTAAAAAAGATAGGCTTCCTCTTTAAAAGGTGAGGAAAGGGTAAAGGGTACAGGGAATTTTACTTACTACCAAGACTGAAAAAAATCTGATGATGAGTATGCTGATTAACAGCTGGCCATGTGATCATAGCAATCCTGTAGCCCTCCTTAAATAACATCCAAAGCATTGGCTCTTCCTCCTGGCTTTTGGGAATTCCTGGTAAGGCCATAGACACACCCCATTCTCTCAAGTTGAAAATTCTCAACAAGACCCTAAAACTCACCACAGATATTAAGAATTCTTTTTTGTTTGTTTTTGTTTTATTTTGGTTTTGGGGTGTTTTTTGTTTTGTTTTGAGACACAGTCTTACTGTGTCACCCAGGCTGGAGTGCAATGGTGCAATCTCGGCTCACTGCAACCTCCACCTTCCCAGTTCAAGTGATTCTCCTGCCTCAGCCTCCTGAGTAGCTGGAATTACAGGAGTGAGCCACCACACCCAGCTAGTTTTTGTATTTTTAGTAAAGACAAGGTTTTGCCATATTGGCCAGGCTGGTCACAAACTCCTGACCTCAAGTGATTCCCCTGCCTCGGCCTCCCAAAGTGCTGGGATTACAGGTGTGAGCCACCACACCCGGCCAGATAATGAGATTTCAAATGTCATTTTGTGTGCCACATAGTGACATTTCAGTCAATGACAGACCCCATATATGACAGTGATTCCATAAGGTTATACTGCATTTTTACTCTATCTTTTCTATGTTTACATAGTTTAGATACATTAGTTACACTGTTTAGATACACAAATACTTTCTATTATGTTACAGTTGGGTAGCTATTCAGGAGAGTAACATGCTTTGTAGTCTAGGAGCAACAGGCTATACCACACAGTCTAGGTGTGTAGTAGGCTATACCATCTAGCCTAGGTTTGTGTAAGTACACTACAATGTTCATACAATGATGAAATCACCTAATGACACATTTCTCACAAAGTATTCCCGTTGTTAAGAGTCAAAGTAGCTCTTCTTCCAAAAAAAGAGATAGGGACTCATATAACCCATGCCCATCAGGCTAAGATGAGAAAGTACTTGCAGGTATTCACTTTGAGAACAGTTTAAAGATTTCAAAAATAATAAAGCTAAGAAGATTAAGTAAAAGCAGGTCAGTCTGTTACAGATGGCATATAAAGATTTTATCTTTTATTCATATTAACAGCAACTTAAGTTGCCAAAATCAGTGGGTTTTGACTGAATGTAACTGGTTAGTGACCATATAACCAATTGCAAATGTCACCACCACCTGCGGATTGTCCCACCTGTATCCTTTCACTCTGATGACAAAATGTGCTACCTTAGGTGCTCAGCCCAAGTCTCATTCCACACCCACCGCTCCTACCAACACCACAGGGCACTATGAGCAAATCCTTGGTTCTTGCTGACCCTCCTCAGGCCCAGGTGTGCTAGGCTGAGAAGCTACCAGCGGAGGCTATGGGACCATCAAAGCACAGGAAAGTGTAATGGTCCTCCCACCAAAGCAGAGATCTGAAAGAGAAGTCAAGGGACAAAGAATTCTGGATACCTGAGCATCTAGGTCTTTAAGTCAGTAAAGGAAAAAAGGAAGGTAGGAATGGAGTAAAACAGAGAAAGCAAAGTGCCATCTGCATGTATGTAATACATCTGATGCAATCCGAATAAAAACAGTTCTGGACTGGCTGTCAGAAGAACTAAATAGTTCCAGTCTCAACTATGCTAATCAACTGTATGGCCTTGCAAAAGTCACTTTCCTCACTGGGTCTCAGTTTTGTTATCTATAATACAAAATTCATCAGGTTACCTCCCAGCTCTAGACACTATTTTAGTAAAAAATGAGAGTAAAGAAACACTATGGGGAAATTTATCACCAGGACTATGAAAGTTTTTTTCCATATAATGAGAAAACAAAGTAAAATATATCAAAGAAAATGTATGAAATGAGAACATATTACTTATAGTTTCAATAAGATAAACTAAAAATTTAAAGCTTTTCCTACCATGTTCATAAAAACTCACAAAGATAATAAATACAACTAATTTTGTCAGGCTATCCCTCTTCACTGTGGTGAGACTAAGATTCAGCATCCTTAGCAATGAACTGAGAAAACCAGGTACTTATAAAAGAATATTCCTCCAAAAATGAAACACATATCCAACACAACTAGAAAATGTGCTGTGCAGTCTGTTAGACTGTTTTCATTTGGGATAAGAGATGCTTAAACATGATTGTGGTTGGCTAGCTCTCAAGATTTTGATTTTACTGTCAAACTGTTTATCTACCCATCCCTAAAACCCACATATTTACCTATTCTGCTTTAAAACAAACACTGTAAAGAATACAGCTGCCTAGCTTCAGGCTGTTTACAGCTACAGAATGGCTGACTTCAATCGCAACCAAATACTGTACTTTTCAGTAATAAAAAATAAACAGCTTCCCATGTACAATATGTCAATGTGTAACCTAACTGGGATATTTAGTTGGTTCAATTTGCTGTCAAGATAACTATATTATTTTAAGCTCTAATATCAACTTTACATGTTAAGCAACTGTTTTAAATTGTATAAGTTCCTTCCTCTAGTTTTACACTCAATAAATGAAAATCATGACTTGACGGTATCACAAAAATTATTCTTAAAGTAGACTAACAATCTACAATGTTAAGACAGCAATTGGTGCTGGATTTTAACTATGCAGCTTGTCAGCTTGTGGCCCACCTCACCTCCCACTTAGCAAGATTCTAAGGCCTTGGACAAGTCCTTAAAATGTAAAAGCATTAAAAATGTCTACATTGGCTAGGTGCGATGGCTCATGCCTGTAATTCCAGCACTTTGGGAGGCCGAAGCAGTTAGATCACCTGAGGTCAGGAGTTCGAGACCAGCCTGGGCAACATGGCAAAACCCCATCTCTACGAAAAATACAAAAATTAGCCAAGCATGGTGGCACATGCCTATAATCCCAGCTACTTGGGAGGCTGAGGCAGGAGAACTGCTTGAACCCAGGAGGCTGAGGTTGCAGTGAGCCGAGATCGTGACATTGTGCTCCAGCCTGGGCAACAAAAGCAAAACTGTCTCAAAAAACAAAACAAACAAAAAAAACCTCTACATTACAAAATCAAAGGTGAAATTGAGTTATGTATTTTAAAAAAAATTCGTGGAGGACTAGGAGGAGATGCTTTTACCCTAAATATCCAAGTAATTGTACCTGAAATAGCCAGAAAAAGCAATTATTTTGAACAACATTTAAAAATTATTCACTTTATCTCATCTGCAGATCTTAAACTCTGGTATGCATAGAAATTGATCACCTCCAAAATTCAAATGCACCTGGCCATTGTCCTTTAGAGTCTAAATTAAGGGACTTAATTATGCAAACAAGCAAAAAAAAAATCATTTCTGGGTAGCACCTGTACTAAGAAATGGAAAACAATATACATGCATTCTATAATAAATTAGCATATCATTTTTCAAGTAACTCTATATTCTAATCTTGAAAAAAACACTCTCATGGAAAATAAGCTGCACCTGTATCCAACAAAGAATAAGTTTATTTTGAAGAAACAACTTCTAGCTTGATTCGAAATCCTTGTTACAATAAAACCAGCTAAAGAAATAGGTATTTTCCTTAAGACCTAATATATACATATACATATATGTGACCTAGTATATATTATATAAAAGAAAATGAAGATATATAGATATATAGATATATAGATATATCTTATTTTTCTTTCCTTTTTTTTTTTTTTTTAAGACAGGGTCTCACTCTGTCACCCAGGTTGGAGTGCAGTGGCACAAGATTGGCTCACTGCAACCTCCGCCTCCTGGGTTTAAGCAATTCTCCTGCCTCAACCTCCCGAGTAGCTTGGATTACAGGTGCACACCACCACACCTGGCTAATTTTTTTTTTTTTTTTTTTTTGTATTTCTTGTAGAGACAAATTTAGCCATGTTGCCCAGGCTGGTCTCGAATTCCTGAGCTCCAGTGATCCTCCCTCCTCGGCCTCCCAAAGTGCTGGGATTACAGGCATGAGCCACCGCACCCAGTCACTTTCCATTTTTTAAAAATGAATAAAAATTAAATACATAGCATGTGTATTTACTGAAAGCATCCAAATGTTATGTGAGAACTTTTACATTTACACAGAAAAAAACTATAATTAATTTGGCAATAGAGGGAAACTTCTTAATTATTATATCATTTGTGCTAGCATAAGCTGTTACATCTATGAGGACGACAAAAACTGCATGAAGGGAATGTTAAGAGAAAAGTGTAATAAAAGTGTCTGTAGTTTTCAGTAGAAAAGATTTGCCCAAATGAGTCCCTTCCAATTGTACTGGTGTCATTCAAACAACACAGATTGCTTTTCTCTGCCCAGATCCTGGTAGGTTATTTGATTTATACCTTCAATGTGCAAAAGTATGTTCCTAAGATAGGAAAAGATGAAATTTGAAAAGCAAAGGGCCAAGAAAACATTTAAATACTATGAATTCTGCAATATGCAGCTCCTTAAAAGAATACATAATAAGTTATACATAGCAATGTATGTTCTTTGATATGTACCAAAAAGTTAGTTGCAGAATAATATGTATAGTATGTTCTTATTTTTACAAAGAAAAACGTATTTGTACGTATGTATGTACACACACATTTGTACTAAGAAATTGAGAAGTGTAGAAGGATAAACAACAGTAAGTATTGGTTAGTCTGGGGAGTTGGGGGTTTAAAGAGAATATATTATTTTCATATGTATCTTCTTATAAAAACAGGCACACACTTTTATAAAGAATCTCCTAACATCTTTAATTAAAGTTTTTATTTTGAGATGACTGTAGATTCATATTCAGTTCTAAGAAAAATACAGAGATATCTCTTTACCAGCTTTTGCCAACGGTACCATTGTGCAAAACTATAATACAATATCACAACCAGGATATCAACAGTGATACAGTCAAGATACAAAATGCCCTTTTAAAGCCACAAACACTTCCCTCCCAGCCCCCCCGCCCCCACCCTTAACTCCCAGCAACCACAAACTTGTTCTCCATTCCTGTAATTTTGTCATTTGAAGAATATTATATAGGCCGGGGGCAGTGGTTCACGCCTGTAATCCCAGCACTTTGGGAGGCCAAGGCGGGTAGATCACCTGAGGTCAGGAGTTCAAGACCAGCCTAGCCAACATGGTGAAATCCCCTCTCTACTAAAAATATAAAAATTAGCCGGGCATGGTGGTGGGTCCCTGTAGTCCCAGATACTTGGGAGGCTGAGGCAGGAAAACCTCGTGAACCCAGGAGGCAGAGGTTGCAATGAGCCAAAACCACACCACTGCATTCCAGCCTGGGCGGCAGAGCAAGAATCCATCTCAAAAAAATAAAAATAAAAAAGAAAAGAAAGAACATTATATAAATGTAATCATAAAGTATCTAACTTTTGGAGATTGGCTTTTATTGCCTCAGCATAATTATCTGCAGATTCATCCAAGTTGTTGCAGGTATCAATACTTCATTTCCTTTTCTTCCTAAGTTATATATCCATTTACCCCTTGAAGGACATCTGGGTTGTTGACAGTTAGGGGTTATTATGAAAAAAGCCACTAGGAACATTTGTCTCAGATTTTCATGCAAGCATAAATTTTCTATTCTGAGCAATAAATGCCCAGGAGTGCAATTGTTAGATCACATAGTAGTAGCATGCTTACTTTTTTAAGAAACTGCCAAACTGTTTTCCAGAGTGGCTATGTCATCTTATATTCCTACCAACAACGTATGAGTAATCCAGCATCTCTGCCTCCTTGCTGGCATCTGGTGTTGCCACTTTTTTTAATTATTATTTTAGACATTCTGGTAGTTGTGCAGTGACATGTCACTGTGGTTTTAATTTGCATTTTCCTAATGATGAATGATTTTAAACATTTTTCCATGTGCTTATTTGGCATTTGTATATCCTCTTTTGTAAAATATCTGTTCATGTCTTTTGCCTATTTTTTTCTCTTTTTTTTCCTCAGGACCCGGTCTCACTCTGTCACCCAGGTAGGAGTGCAGTGGCACGATCATAGCTCACTGTAACCTGAAACTCTTTGGTTCGAGAGATCCTCCTGCCTCAGCCATGTGAGTGGCTGGGACTACAGGCATGACCCACCACAATGGTGTCCATTTTCTAATTGGATTTTTCTACTGTAGAGTTTTGAGAGTTCTTTATAAATTCAAGATACCAGTCCTTTACTGAATGTGTGGTTTGCAAATATTTCCTCCCAGTCCACAGCTTGTCATTTCATCGTCTTAACAGGGTCTTTTGTAGAACAAAAAAATTTAATTTGGGTAAAGTCCAATGTCTCAATTTGTCCTTTGGATCAGACATTTGGTGTCAAGTCTAAGGACTCTTAGCCTGAGATTTAGAAGATTTTCTTCTATGTTTTTGTCTGAAAGTTTTATTGTTTTACATTTAAGTCCATGAGACAGATTGAGGTGGGTTTTTTTTCTTGTGGTTTTGTTTTTTGGTTTTTGTTTTTCGTTCTTCTTTTTTGGTTTGGTTTGTTTGTTTGTTGTTGTTGTTTTGCCTGTGGATGTCTACTAGTTCCAGAACCATTTGTTGAAATGAAGTTAACTGCTTCTGCACTTTGTCAAATCAATTGGGCATATCTGTGTGGCTCCACTTCTGTGTTCTCTATTCCACTCTCTCTCCCCTCCACCCCAATATCACACAGTCTTGATTACTATACCTAAATAATAAAGCTTGCAATAAAGTACACTGATACCTCCCACTTTTTTCTTCTTTTTCAAAATTATTTCAACCATTCTACTTCCTCTGCCTTTTCATTAAATTTTAGAAATCTGTTTTTCTATAACTATAATAAAATTTGCTTGGATCAAATGGCTTTAAATGTAATTTTCTTTCAAGTGGATACCATGTTACTTATTTCAGTAAACCAGCCATTATAACATTAGGTGGAAAGTTAGATAATTGATCTGATGCTTTTTCTCTTTCCTAATGTATACATTTAGTGCTATTAATTTTCCCCTCATCATTACTACGGCTGTGGTATACAAATTTTGACTTTTTTTTTACAAAGCAGCTCAATTTTTTTTATTTCCCTGAGACTTCCTCTTTGACCCATGGATTATTCAGAATTGTATTGTTTAGTTTCCAAGTGTTTGAGGATTTTCCTATCATCATTTTGTTATCAATTTCTAGTTTGACTCCATAGGGTCAGAGAATACAGTCTATATAGTTTCAATTCTTTTAGATGTATTAAGGTTCATTTTATGGCCCAAGATATGGTCCATCTTAGTATATGATCCACGGGCAGTTGACAAAAATGTGTATTCTCCTGTTGTTGGGTAAAGTATTCTAAAAATGTAGGTTAGAGCCTAGTGGCTGATAGGGTCCTTGAGTTCTTCTATATCCTTAGAGATCTTCTGTCTAGTTTTTCTACCAATTGCTGAAAGAAGGGTGTTACGCGTTTTTAACTATAATTTTCAATTCGTCTATCTCTCCTTCCAGTTTTTACTTCACATATTTTGTAGCTCTGTTATTTGGTAAATACATGCCTAAAACTGTGATTTGTCTTCCTGGTGTGTTGATCCTTTTACAATATTATAAAGTCCTGTTTGTCTCTGGTAATTTTCTTTTTTTTTTCTTTTTTTTTTTTTTTTTTTGGAAATGGAATTTTGCTCTTGTTGCCAGGGGCTGGAGTGCAATGGCGCAATCTTGGCTCACTGCAACCTCCATCTCCTGGGTTAAGGCAATTCTCTTACCTCAGTCTCCCGAATAGCTGGGATTACAGGCATGCACCACCACACCTGTCTAATTTTTGTATTTTTGGTAGAGACAGGGTTTCACCATGTTGATCAGGTTGGTCTCAAACTCCTGACTTCACATGATCTACCCGCCTCAGCCTCCCAAAGTGCTGGGATTACAGGCGTGAGCCACCGCACCCAGCCATCTCTGGTAATTTTCTTTGCTCTGAAGTCTACCTTATCTGGTATTGATATAGCCACTCCTGGTTCCTCCCAACTAATATATGCATGATATATATTTTTCATACTTTACTTTCAACCTACCAATATCATCATATTGGAAAAACATTTCTCGTAGACAATATATCATTGAGTCATATTTTTAAACCACCTGCCAATCTCTGCCTTTCAGTTGGTACATTTAGACCACTTACAGTTACTGATATCTTAGGATTTAAGTCTGCCACTTTATTTTTTTGTTTTCTTTTTGTTCTTTCTGTTTGTACCTGCCTTCCTATGGGTAACAACATTTTTTAGAATTCTATTTTGATGTGTCTATACTGTTTTTTGAGTGAATCGCTTTGTATACCTTTTTTAGTCATTTCTGTAGATAGTACATGATACCAGTACCATTAGCACGGTCTCCTAGAATGGAAATTGTTCCAATTAGAGTTACACATGAAAACCTTACCTCCCTTTATATCCACTTTAACTCCTCTATCTGTAATTTTCTTAAATATTTCCTCTACCAGCATTTAGAGCCACATCAGACAGTGTTATAATTCTAGCATCAATCATCAAACACAATCTAGAAAACGCAAGAGGAGAAGGAAAATCTATTGTATGTAGCCATAGTTTTGTTTATTATGTTCTTTCTTCCTAGTGCTCCAAGAATTCTTTTTTCTAATCTTTTCTGTTTAGAGAACTTCCTTTACTCATCCTTCTAGGGTAGAACTGCTGGAAAAAAAAAGTCCTACTTTACTTCATCTGAGAATGTGTTGATTTCCCCTTCATTCTTAGGAAATTATTTCACTGGAAATAGAATTCTGGTAGTTCTTTTCTTTCAGCATTTCAAAATGCTGTGTCAATGCCTTCTGACGATAATAGTTTTCAATGAGAAATCTACTCTCAAATTATTTTCTCATATTGGTTAACATATTGTTTCTCTCTCACTGCTTTAAATTTTTGTTTCTTTGACTTTAGTTTTCAGAAGTGTTACTATTATGGATTTTAGTGTGGATTTCTTTGGTTTGGAGTTCACTCAGCATCTTCTTGAATATATGTAGGTTTATGTCTCTTGCCACATTTGGGAAGTTTCTAGCCATTATTTCTTTTTGTACTTTTTCAGTCCTGCCCTCTTTTTCCCCTTCTTCCAGGACTATGATGACACCAAGTTATGTCTTTTGTTTTAGTCCCACAGGTCCGTAAGGCTCTGTCATTTTTTTTCCCTCAGTCTACTGTCTCTGTTTTCAGCTCAAGTATATTGTATTGTTCTCCAAGTTCACTGATTCTTTTCTCTGTCTTCTCCAATCAGCTAATGAACCCATTTGCTGAGTTTTTATTTCAGTTATTATATTTTCCAGTACTAAAAATTTCCTTTGGTTCTTCTTTGATTTTTTTTTCTTTACTGAGACTTTCTACTTTTCTGCTAAGAATTTCTACTTTTCTGTTTGTTTCAAGTACATTCATAATTGCTCACTGAGGTACTTTGGTAGAGGAACTGCTGTAAAATCTTTGTTAGATAATTCCAACATCTCTGTCATCTTGACTTTGGCATCTATTAATTGTCTTTTTTTTCTTTCAAATTGAGATGTTTCTGGATCTTGGCATAATGAGTGATTTTCTATTAAAACCTGGACATTTTGGATATTATGAGAGTCTGGATATTACTTTGACTTTCTGTTTTAGCTGGCTTTCTCTGACACTGCTCTAAAAGAGGCAGCGCAGGGAGGCACTTCCCCTGTTACTACCAACTGGAGGTAGAAGTCTAGGTTCCCACTCAGCCTTTACTGGCACCAGGGATGGGGGCCTCCTTGTTACTGCATGGTGGGACTAGGAGTTTTGGCTCCCCACTAGGCCTCTGCTGATCCCATCCTAGTTGGAAAGAATAGGAGTGTCTCATTACTGTTCTCCACATGGCCTCCATTGACACCAGAGGGAAGAGGGAGCGAGTGGCCTCTTTACTTCTGGACGATGTTGAAAGTTTAGACACTCCACTGTCTCCATCCCACTGGGAAGGGGTAGGGGGAACTTGTAACAGCCCGTTGATACTGGAAATTGTATTAGGCTGTTCTTGTGTTGCTATAAAGAAATACCTGCTGGCAAGATGGCTGAATAGGAACAGCTCCGGTCTGCAGCTCCCAGCGAGATCAATGCAGTAGGCAGGTGATTTCTGCATTTCCAACTGAGGTACACAGCTCATCACAATGGGACTGGTTAGACAGTGGGTGCAGCCCACAAAGGGTCAGCTGAAGCTGGGTGGGGCATCACCTCACCTGGGAAGTGCAAGGGGTTGGAAAACTCCCTCCCCTAGTCAAGGGAAGCCGTGAGGGACTGTGCCATGAAGAACATTGCATTACAGCCCAGATACTATGTTTTTCCCACGGTCTTCGCAACATGCAGACCAGGAGATTCCCTCGGGTGCCTTCACCACCAGGGCCCTGGGTTTCACGCACAAAACCGGGTGGCCATTTGGGCAGACATCAAGCTAGCTTCAGGAGTTTTTATTTCATACCCCAGTGGCACCTGGAACACCAGCAAGACAGAACAGTTCACTCCCCTAGAAAGGGGGCTGAAGCCAGGGAGCCAAGTGGTCTCGCTCAGTGGATCTCACCCCCACGGAGCCCAGCGAGCTAAGATCCACTGGCTTAAAATTCTTGCTGCCAGCACAGCAGTCTGAAGTCAACCTGGGACACTCAAGGTTGGTGGGGGTGAGGAGGGGGCGTTGTCTGCCCTTACTGAGGCACTGATTGAGTAGGAGTTTTTCCCTTCACTGTGTAAACAAAGCCGCCTGGAAGTTCGAACTGGGCAGAGCCCACCACAGCTTGGCTGTAGCCAGACTGCCTCTCTAGATTCCTCCTCTCTGGGCAGGGCATCTCTGAAGAAAAGGCAGGAGCCCCACTCATGGCTTACAGATAAAACTCCCATCTCTCTGGGACAGAGCACCTGGTGGAAGGGGCGGCTGGGGGTGCAGCTTGAGCAGACTTAAACCTTCCTTCCTGCTGGCTCTGAAGAGAGCAGCAGATCTCCCAGTACAGCACAAGAGCTCTGCTAAGGGACAGACAGCCTCCTCAAGTGGGTCCCTGACCCCCGTGCCTCCTGACAGAGCAATACCTCCCAGCAGGGGTAAACAGACACTTCATACAGCAGAGCTCCAGCTGGCATTTGGCAGGTGCACCTCTGAGACAAAGCTGCCAGAGGAAGGAACAGGCAGCAATCTTTGCCGTTCTGCAGCCTCCACTGGTGATACCCAGGCAAACTGAGTCTGCAGCGGATCTCCAGCAAACTCCAGCAGACCTGCAGCAGGGAGGCTTCACTGTTTGAAGGTAAATTAACAAACAGAAAAGAATAGCCTCAACATCAACCAAAAGGATGTCCACACAAAAACCCCATGCAAAGGTCACCAATGTCAAAGACCAAAGGTAGATAAATCCAAGAAGATGAGGAAAAAACACTGCAAAAAGGCTGCAATTCCAAAAACCAGAACGCCTCTTGTCCTCCAAAGGATCACAACTACTTGCCATCAAGGGAACAAAACTGGACGGAGAATGAGTTTGACCAACTGGCAGAAGTAGGCTTCAGAAAGTGGGTAATAACAAACTCCTCCAAGCTAAAGGAACATGTTCTAACCCAAAGTAAGGAAGCTAAGAGCCTTGAAAAAAGGTTAGAGGAATTGCTAACTAGAATAACCAGTTTAGAGAAGAACATAAATGACCTGATGAAGCTGAAAAAACATAACACGAGAACTTCATGAAGCATAAACAAGTATCAATACCCAAATTGATCAAGTGGAAGAAAGGATATCAGAGATTGAAGATCAACTTAATGAAATAAAGCGTGAAGACAAGATTAGAGAAAAAAGAATGAAAAGGAATGAACAAAGCCTCCAAGAAATACGGGACTATGTGAAAAGACCAAACCTATGTTTGATTGGTGTACCTGAAAGTGACGGAGAGAATGGAACCAAGTTGGAAAACACTCTTCACGATATTATCCAGGAGAAATTCCCCAACCTAGCAAGACAGGCCAACATTCAAATTCATAAAATACAGAGAACAACACAAAGACATTCCTTGAGAAGAGCAACACCAACACACATAATCATCAGGTTTATCAAGGTTGAAATGAAGGAAAAAATGTTAAGGGCAGCCAGACAGAAAGGTTGGGTTACCCACAAAGGGAAGCCCATCAGACTAACAGTGGATCTCTCAGCAGAAACCCTACAAGCCAGAAGAGAGTGGGGACCAATACTCAACATTCTTAAAGCAAAGAATTTTCAACCCAGAATTTCATATCCAGCCAAACTAAGCTTCATAAGTGAAGGAGAAATAAAATCCTTTACAGACAAGCAAATGCTGAGAGATTTTTGTCACCACCAGGCCTGCCTTACTAGAGCTCCTGAAGGAAGCACTTAGTATGGAAAGGAAAAGCCAGTACCAGCCACTGCAAAAACATACCAAATTGTAAAGACCATCAACACTATGAAGAAACTGCATCAACTAATGGGCAAAATAACCAGCTAGCATCACAATGACAGGATCAAATTCACACATAACAATATTAACCTTAAATGTAAATGGGCTAAATTCCCCAATTAAAAGACACAGACTGACAAAGTGAATAAAAAGTCAAGACCCATCAGTAGGCTGTATTCAGAAAACCCATCTCATGAGCAAAGACACATATAGGCTCAAAATAAAGGGATGGAGGAATATATACCAAGCAAATGAAAGCAAAAAAAAAAAAAAAAAAAAAAAAAAAAAAAAAAAAAAAACAGGGGTTGCCATCCTAGTCTCTGACAAAACAGACTTTAAACCAACAAAGATCAAAAAAGACAAAGAAGGGCATTACATAATGGTAAAGGGATCAATGCAACAAGAAGAGCTAACTATTCTAAATATATATGCACCCAATACAAGAGCACCCAGATTCATAAAGCAGGTTCTCAGAGACCTACAAAAAGACTTAAACACCCACACAATAATAGTGGGAGAATTTAACACCCCACTGTCAATATTAGACACATCAACAACATAAAAAATTACCAAGGATATTCAGGACTTGAACTCAGCTCTGGACCAAGCAAACCCAATAGACATCTACAGAACTCTCCACCCCAAATCAAACCTATATACATTCTTCCCAGCATCACATCGCACTTATTCTAAAATTGACCACATAATTGGAAGTAAAACACTCCTCAGCATATGCAAAAGAATGGAAATAATAACAAAGAGTCTCTCAAACAACACTGCAATCAAATTAGAACTCAGGATTAAGAAACTCACTCAAAACTGCACAATTACATGGAAACTCAATAACCTGCTCCTGAATGACTACTGGGTAAATAATGAAATGAAGGCAGAAATAAATAAGTTCTTCGAAACTAATGAGAACAAAGACACAACATACTAGGATCTCTGGGATACAGCTAAAGCAGTGTTTACAGGGAAATTTATAGCACTAAATGTCCACAGGAGAAAGCAGGAAAGATCTAAAATCTATACCCTAACATGACGGTTAAAAGAACTAGAGAAGCAAGGACAAATAAATTTAAAAGCTAGCAGAAGACAAGAAATAACTAAAATGAGATCAGAACCAAAGGAGGCAGAGACACGAAAAACCCTTCCAAAAAAATCAATGAATCCAGGAACTAGTTTATTGAAAAGATTAACAAACTGAGTCCAGCAGCACATCAAAGAGCTTATCCACTATGATCGAGTCGGCTTCATCCCTGGGATGCAAGGCTGGTTCAACATACTCAAATCAATAAACATAATTCATCACATAAACAGAACCAACAACAAAAACCACATGATTATCTCAATACATGCAGAAAAGGCCTTCAATAAAATTCAACAGTCCTTCATGCTAAAAATGCTCTATAAACTAGGTATTGATGGGACGTATCTCAAAATAATAAGAGCTATTTATGACAAGCCCAAAGCCAATATCATACGGAATGGGCAAAAGCTGGAAGCATTCCCTTTGAAAACCAGCAAAACACAAGGATGCCCTCTCTCACCCCTCCTATTCAACATAGTATTGGAAGTTCTGGCCAGAGCAATCAGGCAAGAGAAAGAAATAAAGTGTGTTCAAATAGGAAGTGAAGAAGTCAAATTGTCTCTGTCTGCAAATGACATGATTGTATATTTAGAAAACCCCATCCTCTCAGCCCAAAATCTCCTTAAGTTGATAAGCAATTTCAGCAAAGTCTCAGGATACAAAATCAATATGCAAAAATCACAAGCATTCCTATACACCAATAATAGACAAACAGAGAGCCAAATCATGAATGAACTCCCATTCACAAATGCTGCAAAGAAAAAAAAATAACTAGGAATACAACTTAGAAGGGATGTAAAGGACCTCTTCAAGGAGAACTACAAACCACTGCTCAAGTAAATAAGAGAGGACACAAACAAATGGAAAAATATTCCATGCTCATGGATAGGAAGAATCAATATCGTGAAAATGGCCATACTGCCCAAAGTAATTTATAGATTCAATGCTATCCCCATCAAGCTACCACTGACTTTCTTCAAAGAACTAGAAAAAACTACTTTAAATTTCATATGGAACCAAAAAAGAGCCCGTATAGCCAAGACAATCCTAAGCAAAAAGAATAAAGCTGGAGGCATCATGCTACCTGACTTCAAACTATACTACACAGCTACCATAACCAAAACAGCATGGTACTGGTACCAAAAAGATATATAGACCAATGGAACAGAACAGAGGCCTCAGAAATAACACCACACATCTACAACCATCTGACCTTTGACAAACCTGACAAAAACAAGCAGTGGGAAAAGGATTCACTATTTAATAAATGGTGTTGGGAAAACTGGCTAGCCATATGCAGAAAACTGAAACTGGACCCCTTCCTTGCACCTTATACAAAAATTAACTCAAGATGAATTAAAGACTTAAACATAAAACATAAAACTATAAAAACCCTAGAAGAAAATCTAGGCAATACCATTCAGGACATACGCATGGGCAAAGACTTCATGATTGAAACAGCAAAAGCAATGGCAACAAAAGCCAAAATTGACAGCTGGGATCTAATTAAACTAAAAAGCTTCTGCACAGCAAAACAAACTATCATCAGAAAGAACAGGCAACCTATAGAATGGGAGAAAATTTTTGCAATCTATCCATCTCACAAAGGGCTAATATCCAGAATCTACAAGGAACTTAAATAAATTTACAGGAAAAAAAACAACCCCATCAAAAAGGGGGTGAAGGATATGAACAGACACTTCTCAAAAGAAGACATTTATGTGGTCAACAAACATATGAAAAAAGCTCATCATCACTGGTCATTAGAGAAATACAAATCAAAACCACAATGAGATACCATCTCATGCCAGTTAGAATGGCAATCATTAAAAAGTCAGGAAACAGGCCAGGCACAGTGGCTCATGCCTTTCATCCCAGCACTTTGGGAGACCAAGGTGGGCGGATCACCTGAGTTCAGTCAGGAGTTCGAGACTAGCATGACCAACATGGTAAAATCCTGTCTCTATAAAAATACAAAGTTAGCCAGGCGTGGTGGGACATGCCTGCAATTCCAGCTACTCAGGAGGCTGAGGCAAGAGAATTGCTTAAACCTGGGAGGTGGAGGTTGCAGTGAGCTGAGATCATGCCATTGCACTCCAGCCTGGGCAACAAGAGCGAAACTCCATCTCAAAACAAAAACAAAAACAAGTCAGGAATCAAGAGATGCTGGAGAGGATGTGGAGAAATAGGAACGCTTTTACACTGTTGGTGGGTGTGTAAATTAGTTCAACCACCGTGGAAGACAGTGTGGCAATTCCTCAAGGATCTAGAACCAGAAATACCATTTGACCCAGCGATCCCATTACTGGGTATATACCCCAAATCCTTCTACTATAAAGACACATGCACACATATGTTTATTGCAGCACTATTCACAATAGCAAAGACTTGGAACCAACCCTAATGCCCGTCAGTGATAGACTGGATAAAGAAAATGTGGCACATATACACCATTGAATACTATGCAGCCATAAAAAAGGATGAGTTCATGTCCTTTGCAGGGACATGGATGAAGCTGGAAACCATCATTCTCAGCAAACTAACACATGAACAGAAAAGCAAACACCACATGTTCTCACTTATAAGTGGGAGTTGAACAATGAGAACACATGGACACAGGGAAGGGAACATCACACAGCGGGGCCTGTCAGGGGGTGGGGGGCTAGGGGAGGGATAGCATTAGAAGAAATACCTAACGTAGATGATGGGTTGATGGGCGCAGCAAACCACCATGACACTTCTATATCTATGTAACAAACCTGCACATGTATCCCAGAACTTAAAGTATAATAATAAAAATAAAAGATTTAATACAATTTAAAAAAAAAAGAAATACCAGAGACTGGGTAATTTATAAAGGAAAGAGGTTTAATAGGCTCATGGTTCTACAGGCTGTACGGGATGCACAGATCTGGCATCGCCTTCTGGGGAGGCCTCAGGAAGCTAAAAATCATAGTGGAAGGCAAAGTGGGAGCAGGCACTTCACATGATGAAAGTAGGAGCAAGAGAGAGTGGGGGGAAGGGGCCACACATTTTTAAATGGCCAGATCTTGCAAGAACTCTCCCACAGTTGCAAAGAGAGCACCAAGCCATGAGGGATCCCACCATGACCCAAACACCTCCCACCAGGCCCCACCTGCAGCACTGAGGATTAAAATTCAACATGAGATTTGAGTGTGAACAAATACCGAAATTATATTAGAAATACAGGCTCCCCATTCAGCCTTGAGTGGTGGGGTGGGAGTGGCGCCATAGGTTTTTCCGCAGTATTTAGCTGGAGTAACATAGTTATCGTCTAAAAATTTTTTGTCTTGCTAGGCTGCCCCTTTCCTGATCCTTTGGCTAAAGAGCAGGCTTTTGTTGCAGATTTTTCTAGCTGTAACCATTGGCATTCCTATGTATGTTACCAGCTTCTTTAGCTACAAGTCTGGGAGAAATTAGGCAAAAAGAAAAGTCAGAGAATTCACCACCAGTTCATTCCTTGTGTCCCAAAGTCCCTAGATGAGCTGTCTTCTGCTATTCACGTTTTGGGGTCTTCTGGTATTTGTTTTATATATAATGTTCAGGGTTTATAGTTAGTTTTACTTAGCAGGAAGAATAGAGAAAAAGGATATCTATTTCATCTTCCCCGAGGCAAACATAAGCTTAAGTTTTATAACATAACATTTTTGTAGACTGTATGTTATTTGCTTATGGGAGACCTTGGACTATGAATTTTCTCTTATCTAGGTCATATTAAGCCGTTTTCCTTTTGAGTTATATGATCAAAAACAACTACGCATGACAGAAGCAAGGACCACCTGGATACTTCATCCTCCAATTAACATCTGGAAAGTGGTCTGTGAACCCCAGCCACATGTAATTAGAATGTATTTTTGTGACTGATACTATTGAATGTCTTAGCAAAACAAACAAACATTCATAACATTTCTACTTCTCCTGCCATGGTATATGCATACTGTTTAGGTCAGTGGTTCTCAATTGGATAAAAGAGGGTGGCATAATTTTGCCCCCGCCTCAAGGGCTCATCTGGCAACATCTAGAGACATTTTTTATTGTTATGACTTGGGAGGTGCTACTAGTATCTAGTGTATAGAAGCCACGGATGCCTTGAAACATCCTACAATTCACAGGACAGCCACCTTCAATGAAAAATTAAGTGGCCCAAAATGTCAATAGTGCCAATGTTGAGAAATCCTGGTTTAGATGTCTGACATTTGACAGCTAAGTTTAACCCTCCGTATTCTTTGCAACTCCAGGCCCAGGTAACTATGGACCTCCAAGTGCTGCATGTGGAATGTCCTTTCCCAAGCTCTCAACAAAGACAGTCCAGCCTGCTGAGATCATCTTACCTCTCAGCTTCCCTCTAGGGATTGCTATGTGGCTGCAAGTTATGATTTCTAAAGGGAAGAATCATGTTCCTTGTTTTTCCTGGAAAGAACATCATTTACATAAGCCCCAAACGTTTAAAACAAAAGTCCTTATTCGAATCTTCTTAAGAATTTTTAAAATCATAATTTGGACACGACTTTTATACTTGCATACTTACATTCTTTTTTTTTTTTTTTTAGACGAAGTCTCGCTCTTGTCCCCCAGGCTGGAGTCCAATGGTGCGATCTAGGCTCACTGCAACCTCCGCCTCCCGGGTTCAAGAGATTTTCCTGCCTCAGCCTCCCAAGTAGCTGTGATTACAGGCGCCTGCCACCACGCCCGGCTAATTTTTGTATTTTTAGTAGAGATGGGGTTTCACCATGTTGGCCAGGCTGGTCTCGAACTCCTGACCTCAGGTGATCCACCCGCCTCAGCCTCCCAAAGTGCTGGGATTACAAGCGTGAGCCACCGCGCCCGGCCTATACTTGCATTCTTATTGCTATCTCTCACCTACCACCCAGTGCCATTTCAACAAATTCCCCATTGTACATTTTTCACCCTAATAAAACTTCTGAAGCCACTTTTACTTTAAGAAATGCAAGCTCTATCTTCTGGAATTGTTGTGGGGTGGGGGTGTCAAAATTTTAAAAGCCAAGAACGAAATCCAGGCTGCACTCAAAAAATCAAGATAATGAGAGGCAGAGATGGGACTGAGACACCTGATGCTGTCCAAGATACACTTGATTCTAATGCTCCATGATCCATGCCACTCTCCGACATAAAACAATATGTAGGAGAAATGCCATAAAAAGAATACACAAGTGGGGCCGGGCGCAGTGGCTCAAGCCTGTAATCCTAGCACTTTGGGAGGCCGAGGCGGGCGGATCACGAGGTCAGGAGATCGAGACCATCCTGGCTAACATGGTGAAACCCTGTCTCTACTAAAAATACAAAAAATTAGCCGGGCATAGTGGTGGGCGGCTGTAGTCCCAGCTACTTGGGAGGCTGAGGCAGGAGAATGGCGTGAACCCAGGAGGTGAAGGTGGCAGTGAGCGGAGACCACACTACTGCACTCCAGCCTGAGCGACAGAGCAAAACTCCGTCAAAAAAAAAAGAATACACAAGAGGAATTAACACTTCTGGTAAAAGAGCTGAATACACTGCAATGTTCATTATTCATTTAATAGTCTCTCTTCATATATCCCTAAGTCCATTTGAGCCTGTCAAAATACAATCTTTCTTATGGGACCCTGCTCTGAGGTATAACTTTCCTCAACTGTACGGGACCTCTGGACCAGTTTCTAATACCATCCTCTCTTCATGTCAAGTACCTTAACTATGTCGTAGAGCATGGAGCCTATGTCAGAAGTAGGGGCACCGAGGCCTTTCTTCTCTTTGCTAAGGCTCTTCATTGGGCATCCCTGATTTGTTTTCTTATTAGATTCATAGAAAATCTAACTAGAAATACCCATTTTGAAATGGCCTGAGCAGTCACCCTAATCTTGTTCAGTAACAATGGGGAGGTGTGAGTCTCAACTCAGAACATTTGTCATACTCTGCCCACAAACATTAGGCCAAAGGCAACACCAGAGACTCTTGTTCATACCTGTTTTTGCTTCCCTTTATGGTCACATTCCTTAAATCACAGCCAAGAGTGTATTCTGGGGCTGAAACAATTTTAAAGACATAATGCAGTAGCAGTATTCTGTGTACTAATAAGATATTTGTAGCTGCAGCCAAGAACAGTAATAGAATCTTCTTGCTTCTGTCATTCTCAAAAAAGACCGTGTCTCATATTTTTTCTTTCTTTCTTTCTTTCTTTGGGTTTGGGGCTCAAGTTCCCTTGTTACTGCTTTTGCTGTCAATGTCCCTGCCACAGCAAAGTCTGTATAATGGACAAAATATCTTAAACTTAAATATGACCCCATCTAGCTTAGCTTCCTGCCAGGGACAAGTCATAGTGAATCAATGGGCTGTCCTGGGCATGGTTCCAGCTCAGTGTCTTGGATGAGACTGCCTGGGGTGGAATCCCAGCTCTGCCATGCATTAGCTCCAGAACACTGTGCCAATCTTTTTTAACTTCACTAAAGCTAGAAGGCCTCCACGTCAGACAGGACTTTTATTAGTATCTATTGACCTGATAGGGTTGTCATGGGGACAAAAATGCATGTAAAGTGTGTCCCATAGAGTTTGGCACACAAGAAGCACTTACAAATCTCTATGATTGGGAAGACATAGAAAATAAAGTTTTTAAAAATGTTTCAAGAGAATGACTTTCACTGAAAATATAGAATTCTTATAAATAGTAACATGCTGATCTTCTTAGAATATAAATGCACTTTTGCTGTAATTTACTACTAATAATACTAAACTGTAACAGAAAAAAGAGTTTTTCACATAAAATGCCTGTTCCTTTAACACTAAATAATCACGAAACCTTTGAAGGGGAAGGCTCCTAGTGACGTTATTACTGAAGTCTTCAGCTAATGTTCTCTGAACCAGTTTCTGGGATCATGGCTCAGTTTCCTTCACTTTGAAAAGAGGATAAGACAGAAAATTCAAAAATTCAAATGGAAAATTCAAACAAAATGCAAAGAAGTTGAATAACACCCCAGTGTTTTTGTGTTATAATACATGACACCTTATGCACTGAAATATTATCCATAATAAACTACTCTTACATATGTAATGTAACCCAAATTGCATTTGGGAAAAATGTTACTCTTGTTTTGGTTCACCTACTTCCATTGTAATGTCGTAGTTCTGGCCAAGGACGCTCCGTATGAGCTCTTTGATGGTCTGGTCGGAGGCCAGCTGGGCCTCGGACTGCAGAGAGGCGATGATCTCTTCGATGGACGTGGGGATCACGCGGGAGGGCAGCAGCGCCTGCCAGGCGGCCTCCCGCGCGTCGCTGGGCGGCCAGCTCTCCTGTTCTCCCTGGGCTCCTAACCCCGCCGCTTCCCGCGCCTCGCGGGCCCCGCTCTCGCTCACGAAGTTGCTGCGGATCCTCACTTTCCTCCGCCCGCTGCTGGCCTCCATGTAGCCGTCCTCTGCGGAGACGGAGCTGGCCTTCCTCTCTTTGGCCATGCAGGGCCCTGCGAGAGGAGCTACCTCCTGGCTCTGTTCGCGCTCCCTTCCCAAGTGGAAGACCCGCCTGGGAGCCGCGTGCCGCGAGCTCTCCAAGACCCCGCGCGCTCTGCGCTTCACGGGTGGCTCGGGCGGAGGCAGCAGGACCACGGGTCTGGCCGTGCCGAACCCCGAGGCGATGACTGGGGGCTTTTTCAGGGCCTGGTGCCGTAGGAACGCGGAGCTCCGCAAGTAAAAGTCCCGGGGGCGAAACGACCGGGTCTTGCCTGGAGCCGCCGCCTCACCCAGGCCCGAGGGACGCGGCGCGCCTCCGAGCACCTCCTGCAGGAGGGCGGCCGCGGACATCGCAGGGCCTTTAAGCGAAGGGTATCTTCTCGACGTCCGGGCTGCGGCGCAGGAAACGCGCGCGGGGCGGGCCGGGCCGGGGGCATGGAGGCTGTGGACTGGGCTTTCATCTACAGCCGGCTTGGAGGCCAACTTCTGCTTGAATCGGAGAAAATCCTTTTTAGTTTCCTGCCGAACTTTCTCAAGCTCTTTAAACATATACGATTCCTCTTTGTATTTCAGGCCAAAGTGTCTCGGGATTGTGGACATCTTGACAAATTTGACCTGTAAAGTAAGCCCCCAAAACAATCACATATGTTGTGTGCGTATATACATAAATATAAAACAAAACTGGAATAAAATTTCAGCTCAGCAAAGCTTCTCATAAGAGAACCTCACCGTGCTCCCTGAGGCACAAGCGGGTAAAATTATCATGTAATTTTATATCCACCTATTGGCCCTTTCACAAGAACCATGAAAAACCTCTAAAACAGTCATTTTTTTCGGTGGAGGCTTCCCAAACCCCTATTGGATTTCTTTTAACATTTCTTTAGACTCTAATTAGTAATGTTCCACTTCCAGGCAAGCAGCATCATACTAAACATAGCTTAGAAAATCCCCAGGACCCCTGCTACAACAGAATAAAGGTCACAAACTGTGGCCTGAGGCCTGGATCATTCAGCCCATATAGTTCAGAGTATTTCAACAATTTTTTCTTTTTTTGAGACAAGATCTCGCTCTGTTGCCCATGTGACTGGAGTACAGTGGCATGATCATGGCTTAGTGCAGCCTCGGCCTCCTGGGCTCAAGCGATCCTCCCACCTAAGCCTCCTGAGTAGCTGCGACCAAATGTGGTACACCACATCCAGCTAATACTTTAATTTTTTGTAAAGACTCAGTCTCCTTGTGTTGCCCAGGCTGGTCTCTAACTCCCTGGGCTCATGCCATCCTCCCACCTCAGCCTTCCAAAGTGTTGGAATTACAGGCATGAGCAACCATGTCTGGCTTACTTCCACAATCTTAATTCATAGCCAGCTATTTTAAATTGGAAGATTTTCATAAACCAATTCAGATTTGCAGTTTCTCTGAAAAAAAAGAAAAATGAAGGGTCTGTCAGTGCAAGGGCCAAATCCCAGTTCTTGTGGCTAGACAGCTGTTTCCCCTTCTCTCTCCAGCTGGTCCCAGGTGTCCCCTTCCTTACCCAGCTCACTCCCTCCAAGTGTCACCTGAGCCACAGCAGTGTGTAGGAAGGGAATGGGGGAAGCCTCAGAGCAGGCTGCAGCTAGATTATGAGGCCTTCAGTGCCACTCTCTGTACTTTTTCTGTGAGCTACTGGAAACCACTCAAAATTTTTAGCAGAAAAGTAACTTGATATATTGACTAGAAGAAAGAATAAAGGCTGGCAGGACAAGTAAGAATCTGGTAGCTGGAGCCTGAGTCTGACCTTGATAATGAAGCACAGTAAAAACAGAGACAAAGCAAGGTAAAACTGACAGGACCTGGCCAATGATTAGGAATGAATGGGAGCAATGAAAGCTCCTTCAAAAAATAGGGACTTTGAGTCAGCCTAATGAAGTCTTAGTCATAATAAAACTTCTGTTATTCACTGAACTGTACACTTTAAAATGGTAAAGAGGACAAATTTTGTTATGTGGATTTTAACTACAATTTTAAAAAATTCTGTTATTCAGCAGGGCCAGCTAGCTATGATCATAAGTAGATTTTGAGATCTTGAAAGATCATTACACAAAGCCAGGCTAGCAGTAAATATAAATAGGGAACCGATGGCAGGTTCTGTGGCACACTTACCTGTGTGAGGCGGGAGGGGCAAGAGTAATCAGAGAGTTAGAAAAACGAAGAGGACAGTGTTCCACAGAACACACCAAGAGGAGCATTTCAAGAAATCAGGGTAAAACAATGAAAGTAAAACAAAATACAATGAACTAGAAGTCTTTAGAGAATACCTAAGGTCAAGTTTCTTTGAAAATAAATAAAACAGTAAGGCAGAAACACCTCTGGAATGTCATCATTATTTCCAGATATGATTATCTACTGAAAACACAGACACTAGAACTCTAATAGGATTCTGCAAGAGATTTGAATTTAAAATATATATATATGTATATATCCCCCAATAATTTCTTTGTACCAAAATGGTCCTATCAAAAACATAATGGACTCTAGCCTGGGCAACAGAGCCCCTGTCCTTATTTAAAACAATTTTTTTACTATAATGGTAAAATTTCATTTGTAATATTTTTTAAAGTAAGTATCTAGGCATAAACCTAACAAAAAAATGTACTGAAACTAGGTGATTAAATTTTTAAAATTTTACTGAAGGACATTGAAGAAAGATTCAACTAAATAGGAAGTTAATGTTCCTTGATGGAAAGACCAAATATTTTAATTATATCAGGTCTTCCCAAAATACTGGTTTGGTTTCATGCCAGTGCAAAACTCTGAAAATGATATTTTGAACTTTGAAAGGTAATTCTGAATTCATTTGAAATAATAAACAGGCTGGATTAGCCAAAAAAAAAAATGGAAAACATAAATGACAAGGGAGCACTTGTCCCTCAATGAAGAGCAACCAGATAAATAAAAGGTTTACAGATAAAAGAATTAGAACTGAAAAACTGCTGCTAAAATCAATAGCTACACTGAGAAAGTGAGAAAAAGGATTAAATATAATATTAGTTATATTATAAAGGCAGCATTAAATTGATGATAAAAGAATTTTTCAATAAATTGTGCTGAGACAACTGGACAACTATTTGGTGCAATTTTTTGGTGTATTTCATGACATGTACCCAAATAAATCCATATGGACTTAAAACTTAAATGTGGAAAATATATTTTTATTTTACTTTGCATTTTTATCACTTATCTACATTTCTTAGTTGGACTCATATCAATTCATGAAATAATTATCTTTATAATTGTAATTATTCATTTATCATGATGTTTGATAGTATGAAGAAAATCTCCTGTTTATCCCCCAAATATAGTCGTATTGCGTTTAACTGAAGACCCTGCTACACGAAGAGCTCATCATATCTGGGAATCAATAGGCTTTCTTTCTTTACCTAGCTCCATGACTGACTAGACCTTGGACAATTCAATTCTATCCATACCAAGGGTTCATATTAAAAAGTGAAAATAATCTGTTGCCAGTTTTCCAGGCCATAGGATATGAACATTAGAAATTATTTCTAAAGCCCTTAAGCAAGTTTCCCTACTTTAAAAAATGCTGTATAATCCCCCCGCCCCGCATAGTATTTTGGCTCTTATTGTTTGCACAGGTGGCAATATGTTCATATCAACACTATCTGCATTTCTTCCTGCAAAAGGTTGAAAGGTAGTAACTGGAACAGAGCACAGACCAGAAGTACATTAGTACCTGATGAGAATCTGACTTGACTCTCCCACTTGCACTTCCCTTTTATTTCTTAGTTCCTGCTTTCCCACTTCTCCCAGGCCTTTGGTTTGCTATTGAAGTTTAACAAGTGTTCATTGTTTAACACTTCTCAGTACATTCCCATGAGTTCTTAACAGGAAAGTTGCTCTTTCTATCTAAAATTAAACCAACAGGAAATAGAACTTCTAAATTCAACAGGAACTTCTATTGTGCGTTCAAGATGAGTGGTATACCAGTGCTTCATGGGCCAGTCCATCAAAGCTAAGTGCCTTTATTCCCCCACCCACTCCTACAACACAAAATACATAAAATGACTTTTAAACATTCATTCTCATGAGAAAATAGCATGTTCTCTTTTTCATAGGAGCAATTTACTAAGAGAGACTAGTTCTAGTTTGGCAATACCAAGGGAAAAATAATGTAGTTGTCTCTAAAGGAAAAAGTATTCATCTACATGATGTGTCAAATAGGCAGCTCACAAACCAGGTTGATTATGTTTACCCTACACTTTAAAACGGGACAGAATGCTCTTAAAATCTGTCTATGCCTTTTCCTTTCTCTTCTGCCAGAAGGTTCAAGGCCTGAGCAGTGAAGCAGTCAGAAGGGTCAAGAGCCAGCCTTTTCTTCTCTCTCACAAGACCAGGTCAGCCATCAGAAGAAAGTTCTCCAGCCAAAAATGGCTAAAGACTCAGGCAGGGCTGCACACTTGAATTCTCTAGACCATTGCAGGTTACTCTCTGGTTCTTGCAGTTGTGTCTATTTCTCCTGTTGGAACGGAAAATCCAAAACTTTGCTCTAGACTGTAACTAAAGTCAAAATAAATGGAGCAGATTACCACATGACTTGGTTCCAAGCTACACAAACCCACCTCAAAAAGGGAAAGCAGTCTGCATATGTTAGGCCTAGCTCATCAGAGTATTACATTAGGAATGGGCCCAGAAAGTAATATGAATTACCAGACCTTGACCTCTTCCTATATGTAGTCAGGGGACCACACTGAGAAGGATAACCTTTTAAGAACAAGATTTGGGTTTTCCTAGGTCCATAATCAAATATCATCTCAACTGACATACCTCCTAAACTTCAGGCCAATGTCAATTTCCAATGCACAGTACTAAAGTTCCAAAAGAAACTTCTTAACCCAAGGACAATCTATCTCATTTAGTAAAATCTTCAGCCTTGCAAGGAAAACAAAAATATTCTGAAAACAATATTTGCTTCTGAAATATCAGTGGGAGAAATGAGATCTGTTTGTGTCCTCATTGTCATTTACCAAAAAAAAGCCTCAAAAGAAATATATAAACATATTAATAATTTTGCTAAGAGAATGGGAAAACAGTGATTTTTTTTCTATTTTTCTGCACTTTCTATACTTGTTTAGCTGCCTTTAATCCTGTTAATATCAATAATAGTAAAAACCACTTACATGTGCTCATTTAAAAGGATATAGAAAATAGAGAAAAAGCTATTTTTCAGGCTCAGAAGAGGTTTCTCTCTGAGCTATTCAAAAGCTCACAGAAATTTCAATAACTATAAAAGCTCAGCCCTTTATAACAGTCACTTAGAATATGCCTATATCCCTTGTGAATATACTTACATTCAAAAATACATACATATATAAATACATAACAGCTAATGAAACAACAAAATACTCCCCTGCGTTTTTCTTCTCCCCACTTTCTATCTTCACTTCTTGGACTCCCTTTAATTGCTTAAAAAGCCAAAATTTAAAAATAAAATGTGGCCAGGTGCAGTGGCTCATCTTGCAATCCCAGCGCTTTGGGAGGCCAAGAAGGGAGAATCGCTTGAGCCCAGGAGTTCAAGACCAACGAAGGCAACATAAGGAGACCCTGTCTCTACAAAAAGTAAAAAATTAACCGGGCATGTTGGTACATGCCTCTGGTTCCAGCTAGACAGGAGGCTGAGGTAGAAGGATTGCTTGAGCCCAGGAGGTCAAGGCTGCAGTGAGCCATCATTGTGCCACTGCACTCCAGCCTGGGTGACAAAGACTCTGTCTTAAATAAAAATAATTTTTTTTAAGAATAAATAAAAATAAAATGATGCGTGTGTATGTTTAATGGTCATTGTACTTTTGACATGTTAAAATATTGCCTGCTGTCAGTTTCAAAAGCAATTTGTTGGAGAGCCATAGATGCATCTTTTTTTTTTTTTTTTTTGAGATGGAGTATCACTCTTCCGCCCAGGCTGGAGTGCAGTGTTGAGGCAGAGTATCACTCTGTCGCCCAGGCTGGAGTGCAGTGGCGCGATCTTCGCTCACCGCAAGCTCCGTCTCCCGGGTTCACGCCACTCTCCTGCCTCAGCCTCCTGAGTAGCTGGGACTACAGAGACCCGCCACCATGCCTGGCTAATTCACAGATGCATCTTTACAGATCAATTCCTCACAGCAACATATAAAGTCTGGAGAAATTTTTTTTATTGACCTAAGAATTCTTCAGAGTAAACAAAAGCAGGAAGATTGTAGAGGAAAGTCAACATTTGTGTAAACTGGCCTGGAGAGAAGTTTCCAGGTTTATTGTGGTTTTTCTTCAAACACAGTCCATAACTGCAGAAATGGCATAGTGCAAGTGTCAAAAACATTGATAGGAAGCCCTTCATCATTCTAGCCAGAAGAATCAGGGAAAGGAGCCCAGACAACAAACATCACTGAGAAGTGAGAGAGAAATTCCAGAAGGAAGAGACCCAGAGAAGATAATCCCCAAATTCTATCTAAACCCCACACGTCTCCGACTGACCTTTGATTCACGTATATGCAGGACAAACTCAAAGTAGCACAGTAAAGGCTTAAAGAGCTGAACTGAACCACCAACCACAGAGTAAGACAAGACTTACAGTGAGTTTAACTGACTGGTGAAATGCCTGCTAAATGGAAAATAACAACATTCTTCAGAAAGGATATGACAGAACCTAGACTCTACATGACAAAACATTCACAATGTCCAGGATATAGTCCAAAAATACTTGGCATGAAAAGCCTTGGGAAAATTGAATCATTCTCAGAGGTAAACATAATAAACAGATTCCAGTCCAGAAATGACTCAGGTGTTGAGATTATTAGAAAAGGACATTAAAGCAACTCTTATAACCATGCTCAATCAAGTAAAGGAAAATATGCTAGAGATTAATAAAAAGAAAAAGAAAATTGAACAGATCCCAGTCCAGAAATGACTCAGATGTTCAGATTATTAGAAAAGGACATTAAAGCAACTGTTATAACTATGCTCAATGAAGTAAAGGAAAATATGCTAGAGATTAATAAAAAGAAAATCTTGGCAAAGAAATTAAAAAAATAAAAATAGAAATTTTATACCTGAAAATATATTTTCAAAAAAATTTGATTAGGAAAATGGAGATGTCAGAGAAAAGAGTAACTGAGTTTAAAGATAAATGCACAGAAATTATCCATTATAAGAAAAGACAAAAAAGAAAGCCTGATATCCCTGTAAGGATAATACCAAAAAGCGCTAACATTCAGATAATTAGTATCCCAAGGAAAAAGGAGAATGATTGCTCCACTGCACTCCAGCAGCCTGAGTGACAAAGAGAGAATCTGTCTCAAAAAATAAAAAATAATTATGTTTGAGAACTTCCTAAATTTGAAGAAAGACAAATTTATAAATTCAAGAAGCTCAGTGAATCTCAATCAGAATAAATGTAAAGAAAATCATATGTAAGGTGATGAAAAACAAAGACAAAGACAAAATTCAAAAGCAGACAGAGAGAAACAACACATTATTGACAGGGAAACAATAATTCAAAGACCATGGACTTCTCATCAGACACCCCTAAGAACAGAAGACAGGGAAACAGGATTTGTAACATGCTAAAAGATTTTTTTTAAATGTCAACCCAGAGCAGGTGCAGTGGCTCATGCCTGTAATCCCAGCACTTTGGGAGGCCCAGGCAGGCAGATATCTTGAGGTCAGGAGTTTGAGACCAGCCCAGCCAACATGGTGAAACTCCATCTGTACTAAAAATACTAAAGTTAGCTGGGCATGGTGCTGGGCAGCTGTAATCCCAGTTACGTGGGAGGCTGAAGCAAGAGAACTTCTTGAATCCAGGAGGCAGAGGCTGCAATGAGCCAAGATTGTGACACTGCACTCCAGCCTGGGCAACACAGCAAGACTCTGTCTCAATAAATAAATTAATTAATTGATTAATTTAAACTGTCAACCAAGTATTCTATACCTAGCATGCATATTCTTTTTTAAAAGGTAAACAAAATAAAGACATATTCAGATTAAAAAAAAAAAACCTAAGAGAATTACTCACCAGCGGATAGGAATTACAAGAAATGCTAAAGAATGGTCTTCAGGCAGAAGAGAAATGATACCAGAAGGAAATTTAAATCTTTAAAAATGAATGAAGATGAGAAATGTCAAATGTCTGAGTAAGTGCATGAAGCTATTTTTTTCTCTTAAGTTTAAAAATAATGTACGAAAATTATGATATTGTGTTGTGGGATGTTTATGTAGGTAGGTGCAGTACATATGACAACCAGAACCAAAAAGACTGGGATAGGTGTGGGTAAAGGAACTATATGGTTGTACAGTTTCTGCATTTTATGTGAACTAGTTCAATATCAACTTTAAGTAGACTTTGAAATGTTAAGAAGGTATATTGTAATTACTGGAGAAACCATTTTTAAAGTAATACAAAGAGGTGCAACTAAAAAGCCAATAGGTAAGGAAATGAAAAACAAAAGATATTATTAAATCTTAAAAAATATTTTAGACTGAATAATAATGAAAACACAACATATCAGAATGTGTGGGGTGTAGCTGAAGCAGTGTTTAGAAGGAAACTTATACCCTAAATGATGAAATCAAAAAGAAGAAAGGTCTAAAATCAATAACCTAAAGTTCCATATTAAGAATCTAGGAAAAGAAGAATAATGCATACTCAAACTAATGGAAGGAAATAATAAATATAAGGATATAAATCAATCACATGGAAAACAGAAAAAGAATTGAGAAAATTAACTAAGTCAAAGGTTGGTTCTTTTAAAATCTCAACAAAATTTAAAAACCCATCTGGCTAGCCTGTTTAAGAGAACGAAAATCACCAATATCAGGAATGAAAGAGGATTTCACTATAAAACCTAAAGATACTAAAGGACAATTTTAAAAATGTGATAAACAACACTATACCAACAACATCTAACAATTTAGATGAAATGGGCAATTCTGAAAACTACAACTTACCAAAATTAACATAAGAAACAGGAAATCTGAATAGCTCTATATTTTTAAAAAATTTTATCTGTTATCAAAAAATCTTACCACAAAGACAATTCCAGCCCTGGATGGTTTTCTCAAGTATTCAAGAAAGAAATAACACCCATCTTACATAAATTTCTTTCAGCAAATAGAGGAGGGAGGAAAATTTATTTTATGATACCTACATAACCATAATACTAAACCTGACAAAGGCATTTTTTAAAGAAAGAAAATTACATACTAATATTCCTTATGCGCATACATGCAAAAATCATTAACAAAATATTAGCAAATCAAATCCAAAAATATATTTTTGAAAAGGATAATACATTTTGACCAAATAGAGTTTATCCAAGGGTTGAAAAATTGATTTAAGTATCTGATTTTATTATATTTATTTGCAAATCAATATAATTCACTATATTAACAGAGTACATGAAAATATTATGATTATTTTGGTAGTAAAAAACATTTGACATAATTCAACAACCATTCAGGATAAAAATAAATTAGTAGCTCTAGGCAAACTGTGAATCATAGAGAACATCCTCAATCTGATTAAGAGAATCCTCAAAAAATTTACAGCTAACATTATATTTATGCTTTCCCCCTAAAATTGGAAACAAGGAAAAAATGTCTCACTCTTTTCATGCATATCCAACATCATACTGAAGGTCTTAGCCATTGCAATATGGCAAGGTAAAGAAATAAAAGTAATAAAGATTGAAAAGGAAAAGGTTAAAGCGTCCCTATTTGCAGATGACATAATTTTTAGGATAAAAATCCTGAGGAATCTACAAAAATCTATATGTACTAAGAGTGAAAGTATCAAGGTTGCACAATACACAGTTAACAACATACAAAATCAGTTCCATGTTTATATAGTAGCAGCAAGCAACTGGAAAATATTTTTAAAATTCCACTTACACTAGTGCCTCCACAAAACATAAAATTTAGGAATTAATCTGACAAAAAATGTCCAAAATCTCTACACTGAAAATTACAAAATCTTATTTGCAGAAATTAAAGATCTACATAAATGGAGACATATCATGTCCATAGATTAGAAGACTCAATATTCTTAAAATCACGATTCTCCCAAATAGATCTATACAGTCAATGCAATCCCAATAAAAAATACAGCAGGTTTTTAAATAGAAATTACAAGCTGAATCTAAAATGTATACATAAATTCAAATGACTTAAAATCACCAATGTGATTTTTAAAAAGAAAAGGCTAGAGGACTTGCACTATCCAATTTCAAAACCTATTATAGTAAGCTACAGTAATCAAGGCAAAGGTCATGGCAAATCATTATGCCAAGTAAAGGAAGTCAGACACAAAAGAGCATATACTGTATGCTTTCTTGTGTATAAAATTCTAGAAAATGCAACCTCTTCTATAGTGTCACACAGCAGATCCGTGATTGGTTACATGGTGTGGGCTAAAAGCAGGGATGAAGAGCAAAGAGGGCAGAAGAATGAAAAGGTTCGGTTATATTGATTGCAGGAAATGTTTCAAAGGTGTATGAATCTGTCAAAACTCATCAAATTGTATGCCTGTACCTTGTACATTGTACAACTGTTCATTTGTGCAACTTACTGAATATAAATTATGCCTCTATAAAGTTGTAGATATGAAAAAAGCAATTTGTTCAACTTTTAGATTTGCATGTTAAAAAAAAAAACTATTGATCTCCTTTAAATTTCTGCAGCAGTAGTTTGCAACAGTTCCATTGTGGGTCGTGGGTTTCAATGCCAACAATCCTTGCATTAAGCCCACAGTGTCTCACCGTCCACCAAGGAGTTGGAGCCAAACTCAGGAAACTGGTCTCTATTCTGAAACTACACACATCGACCCTAGTGGGGCAACCACCTACTGGTGGTTGAGGTTTACTCAAAACAAGCTGCCCTGTAAAGGGACAGCAGAGGTCAGGTAGATGGAAATTAAAGTCCCTCCACTGTGACCTTTCACCTCCCGAAGTCTCTTTGAATCCCCCTCTTTCTCCTTCCTAGCCTCTTTTTCTCTTGTCCCCACAGCCCCGTGGGGCGTCGTGCACCTACCTCTCCCTTCCACCAGGTTCTCAATCCTTCCAGCTCCTCTTCAACCCGTGCTCATTCTCCCACGAAAGGCAGCCCAAACTCCAGCCCCAGTGCCCCAGCCCCTTTTTCTACCCTGATTTCTGCCGGGGTGAACCTGCCACAGCGGATTAGCGAGGCGGAACAGAGGGGACAACCGCTCCGCCCAAACAACGCACCTCTCCTTCGCAAAGCGCCCACACGAAGTCACCGCGCCCCAGGCCGCGTTCTCCTCTCACCCGGCATCGAGGGCGCCTCCGCTCCAATTCAGGTGGCGGTGAGCTTGGCCCCGCCGCTCGGCGAGTGTCCAACAGGCCTTTCCTGTGCCTAGGGGCCGGGTGGGCTCGACTGGCTCCACCGAAGAGAGGACGCGCTCGGTCGCCCAGCAACGAGCCGCGCGCCCTCCCCCGCCCCGCCTCTCCGCGCCTCTGCCCTGTAGGAGCCCCCAGCACCGTGGCGCCCACCTCAAGTGCACCCGCCTTGCGGGACCCGCTCCGGGGCAGCCTCGGACTTGGACCCCAAACCCAGGCCTCACTTCTCCCGGCGCTAAAAAGACGCTGCTCCCGAAGAGCCTCTTGGACTGAAGCCGCCTGGATTGGCAGCTTTTGCGGAGCTTAACCAACTGCTTACTTAACACTCTTGCTCTTTCTGCGTTTAAAAGAATAATGCTGGACCCCGAGACTTAAAACTTCAGCTTTGGGAAGCAACACAGATGAACGTCTCACAAACATAATGTTGAGCGAAGAAGCCAGACACCGAGGGGTACATAATGTATGATTTCATCACACAAAGTTCAAAAACTGTGGTGCTTATGGATGTAGACTCAGCTGGTGTATTACAAATAAACACAAGAAAGTGATAACCATAAAAGTCCAGAGAGTAGCCATCTTGGGAGTGGGACGGTGATGGTGAGTGGGCAGGCAGTACTACGGCAGTCGGGATGCTAGTTAACATTCTGCTTTTTAACCTTGGTGATGGCTTCTCAGATTTTCTCTTTGTGATAAACCATTGTTTTGTGTTGTGTTCATTTTCTTGTGTAATATCTCACCATTTTTTAAAAGCTCAAAAAGAAAAAGAAAAACCAATTAGATAATATAGTGTAGATGAATGTGCTTTGCTCAGTACACTTAGCAGGCCCACACATGTTTATTTTATATTCCTCTGTACCAACCCCTCTCTCTCCAAATTCAGGCAACTAAAAAATGAGGTGGGGAGAATGGCAGATAAAATGTACTGGAGTTTGTTGCCATGAATAGTCAAAAGAAATAAACGCTCTAGAGATCCTCCATGAGATCTGTGCTGGAAGAGGGCAACATGTTTCTCAGAAGTTCACGATAAAAGTCTCGTGCTCCACAGTTCCCTAGAGCGGGGCCTCTGAACAGCCTTGCTTTGGAGACTGATGCACTCAGGCATCCTCAGGCCTCCCAGAAGGTAGCTCCTGCTGTAGAAACAGACAAAGCCAGCCTGGGACACACAGCTTTACCATGTGGGCCAGTTGCTTTCCCTCTCTGGGTTTCTGCATGCTCATCTGTAAAATTGAGATCATAATCCACCCTCTAAGGTCTGTTATTTCACTCCCTAATACAATGTGTTCAAAAATGGTTGCTGAATGCTCTCAAGATGAGAAGCATTCTGCAGAAAAAGATCTGCCAACCCTGCGATTTTACTGCATTTACATCACATCTCACTGCCCTGTGAGCACTCTGTATGGGCAGCTTTACTCTAAGTGTAGGAGTAGCCGCTTCAGGCCAGGAGTAAATTACTTTTCCCTGCTAATTAAAATAATAAACAAATAGCCAAAGTGCTTGTGAAGTGACTAATTGTTCATGGTACCATCCCGAATGCTGCACAAAAATAATATACATGCCATGTTCCTAAACTGAAAAAATAGTTCAAATTAATGTAACCTTGAAATATGTCTATCATATAGTCAGGAAACAATTTAAATGACAAATAAATAGTGTTCATTAATACTTTATGTAATCAAAAAACAGTAACTAAGGACTCAGGTATCCATACCATAGGATAATACAATCCATGAACTAGGCAGTATTATCATCTTCATTGTACAGATAAGAGATTGTACAAAGAGATTAAGGAATTCACCTGAGGTCCCCTAGCTAGTAATCCTGTGCTAGGAACCTCTGTTCTAGGTCTAGTTTATTGATTGATTGATTGATTGATTGAGACAGGGTCTCACTCTGTCACCCAGGCTGGTGGGCAGTGGGGCAAACACGGCTCACTACAGCCTTGACTTCCCAGGCTCAAGCAATCCTCCTGCCTCAGTCTCCCAAGTAGCGGGAACTACAGGAGTGTACCAGCATGCCCAGCTAATTTTATATATATATATTGTAGAGACAGGGGTCTCTACACTGCCCAGGCTTGAGCTTTTGGGCTCAAGGAATCCTCTCACCTCTGCCTCCCAAAGTGCCTGGGTTACATGCACAAGCCACTGTGCCTGGCAGATCTAGCTTCATTTTAAAAAGGTGAGAGTGGGAGACAGAAAAAGTGGGAGGAGGAGGAGTTAGTTATTGATTTAAAGGTATTTCAAACTTGTTGATATTATAATGCCTTCATATGGAAATGTTAATACTTCAAGTACATCTTAAAGAGAGGGGAATTAGACTCAAACGAGCAGCATAAAATCATTCAAGTAGTCATTGAAACACTATGATTTCCTCTAGCTTTTGCCACTTTCCAACCACCACCCACCAGTCCTCTTGCTACCCAGCTTCAAAGCCCCCTGTAGTTCACTACAGTATGAGTGAAAGCAGGGCCAGTGTGACTTTCCAGCTCCCACACCTTTGATGTATCACCACAGAACAAAGTCCGAACACAGTTCTCCAAAGAGAATTTGAGGCTCCCCACAATTAGGGCCCACCTAAAGGTTTATATACTTGGGAAATAAAATATTAAAATCATGTCTTTACTTCATATTGCGCACAAAATAAGTTCCAATTGGATGAAAGATTTTGATTTTGTGTAGATAAGGCTTGCAAGCACTGGTGGCTCACACCTGTAATTCCAGCACTTTGGAAGGCCAAGGCAATAGAATCACTTGAGCCCAGGAGTTCAAGACCAGCCTGAGCAATATAGTGAAACCCTGACTCACCTGGCAAAAAAATTAGCCAGGTGTGGTGGCATGAACCTATAGTCTCAGCTACTCAGGAGGCTAAGGTAGGAGGATTGCTTAGGCCCAGGAAGTCGAGGCTGCAGTGAGCCAGGATCTTATCACTGAACTCCAGCCTCGGTGCCACAATGAGATCCTGTCTCAAAAAACAACAACAACAAAAACACACACACACACACACACAAAAAAAACTTGTAAGCGCTAAACCATAAAAGGCAGAAACTATAAATAAAAATACCGATTGTTGAAACATGTGCATTATGCATTTAAAAATAAAATTGAAATGCAAATAAAAACCTGGTAAAAATTTCACAATATTTATAGCAGACATGGGATCAATATTCTGTAGATGAGAAGTAGACACTCCAAATTTTCAATTGGCTAATGAAGGTGTGAATGGCAGTTCCAAAAAGAAGAACTATTGTGGCCAATAGAGATATAAAAATATTCAACTCAACTAATCTCATAAATACAAATTAAAACAATGTTATGCAATTTTCATCAATCAAATTACAAAGTTAGTAAGAGTATGTGCATGGGAGTGAGGAAACAGGATTACTTATAGATTTCTGAGGGCATCCTGCTAGATATCATATAGCAAAATGTCTCAAATGTCTTAAATATAGCATTCTGAGCAACATAGCAAGACTCCACCTTTACAAGAAAATTTTAATAATTAGCTGGGCATGGTGGCATGCACCTATAGTCCTAGCTACCTTGGGGCTGAGGTGGGAGGATTGTTGGAGCCCAGGAGTCCAAGGCTGCAGTGAGCTATGATTGCCCCACTGCACACCAGCCTGGGAAACAGAGCAGGACCCTGTCTCAAAAAAAGAAAAAGAAAAAAAAAAAAAAAGACTAAATACTTGCATGTATTTTAACCCAGAAATTCTACTTTCATGAACTTTTCCTACATAGAAGTATGCAAAATTTTCAAATAGTAATATTGAAACATTGTTTTAATCTTTGGAAGGCAGAATCTTGTCTTCAATTTAGTATCTTTAGTATCTAGCACAATGTTGGCACATAGAATTCTCATTGATGGTCACACCTAAATAATGTCACTGGTTTAGCACTAGTCAAGACTGAGTTGTTGCCAGACACAGACCTGAAAAGGACTGAGCTCTAGACTTAATGTTCTAGAGATGAGGAACCAAAGATGCTGAGGCCTTGGGGAACACACAAGGACATTTCCCATGAGCCCCTCGGTCACTGGACCTAGTTTAGTGTCTGCTTCTATTAACACAACTCACCACTAGCAAAAGTCTCAGTCCTTGATTTATAGCAAAGCTCAGTTTAGCATTCCATTTACACTTTACACCTCCAAAGGGCTTTGCTTACATGTTCTCCAGCTATGGTAATACACTAGAGATTTTGCTGAGTTTGAGGTCAGAGCCATTCCTTTTCTAAAGGTAGATATGCAAGACTGTTGTATGTGCTTTGTAGCCTAAGTCAAAAAAACTTGATACTATCAATATTTTATTTTAGCATCAGTTACTTTAACAATTATGTCAAATGCAAATCAGCAAATTAAAATGGCAAATGTAATGCAAATAAACTCAGAGTGTGCTTTCCTGCTAGACCCATAGGCAGCCTTTCCTGTAGAAACCAGCCACCACAGAAATCCTGGAGCCTTCATGGCTGTACTCCAAGATGGTGACAGGGAAGGAGTAGAGCCTTTTGATGACTTACAGGATGAGGATGAACTGGAAAGAACTGAAGACATCATACCTCACTTCCATGAATCCTTGTTCCTCTCCTCATCACTCAGGGCCCCACAGAAAACAGATGGCATACAGGAAAGGGTTTTCCTAGGGAAAAAAATTTGAAGGTGGGATTAAAGGGAACTAACAAGAGAAAATGAGTCACTCAAGGTCTAGCAATATTAGGAAGGTATTGACACTTTTGATCTGAAGGGGCAACGGGGGAAAAGGAGGTGTTAACAGAGACTGGCGAGAGCTGAAGCTGTGGAAGAGGAGCTGCTGATGGGACTGTAGAGACAGAGAGGGGAAGTAAAGGACAAAACCACAGTGATGCAGGGAGAAAGCAGGAAGCCTAAGTACTCCTAACACTCTACCCTCCTGCCCTTCAGTCCTGCACCATTGTCCTCCATTGGTCAAACCCATTTGTAAGTCCAAAGGCAAGGAAGACTAAGTAACGTGGCCTAAAGAGAAGTAGGCAAAGGGGGCAGCCAGAGAGTATAACAGAGAATAACCCCCAGAGTCCCCTACCAAAAGTTGCCTGTACTGCCATTGATCCACAGAAATGAACACATTGAGACACCTTCCATTGCCTTAGGGTTCTCCCTGGCATTGATTACCTCCAGACTTCTTCAAGCACCTGCTCACCCCACCTTACCCATGGTAACCTAATTAACATCTGCCAAGCTTCCTTCCAGATCCCAAACTCCAACGGGGTTCTAACATCTAAGCTTATGGAGTTCAGAAATGGACCCCTGGGAAGTCAGCTACCACTCTTCTTTGGAGCACCTTGGAAGTCTGGCATTGGGGCATGACCTCGGGGGTTCTTAAGGCAGGATAAAAATAGCAAGCACTGAGCAGACAGAAAAAAAAAAAAACCTGTGAATAAAACTATCCATTTGAAAAAGAAAAGATACAAATAACACTAATGAGCCTGGTCTAAAGCAGGTGTACTTGGCCAGGAATTAAGGATTTATTTTTCTTGGAGGTAGTAGCTGATGTTTAGCATTCCATTTACACTTTACACCTCCAAAGGGCTTTGCTTAGATGTTCTCCAGCTATGGTAATACACTAGAGATTTTACTGAGTTTGAGGTCAGAGACATTCCTTTTCTAAAGGTAGATATGTAAGACTGTTGTATGTGCTTTGTAGCCTAAACATTGAGCTTAGAGAACCAATGCCTGGTTTATGCTTAGAAAAACTAACAGCTCTCCCAAGTAAGCTGTAAAAACAGAAGCTGCATTTAGCCAGAGATCACTGCCTGAGACTTCTGTGTACCATCCCACTTCCCCCATACTCACTCACCCACATACCAATCCAAGAAAAATTAATAAGCTTTGAAGATGTGTTGTTTTTCTGTTTTCCAGTGAAGGATATATTTTATTTTATCCACCCGGATCCTGATTACTGAGTGAAGCAGAATTCAGAAACTTACTGAAGCTGCTATGCAGGACCTTCTTAGCCCATCCAAACTCGTTGTCTAAAATTTGTGGGACATTTCTCATGAAAGAGTCCTGGATCCACAGCTGAACTGCAGCCCTTCCAAACTTCATCAATAGGAGGGTTTAATCAATTTCTGGTCTTCACTTGAGCAGACATATCTATATCTGAGCAGACAAATCACTGAAGCCCCTCTGTGATTTGGTCTTTTCACAGACTATATTGTCTGTCTTAATTAAACTTTAGCATCCCACTAAGCTTTCTTGCACATGCAAGGTAACATTTAAGTCTTTAATATTGGAAGCATACACCATAAGCCCAGCATGCTCGTTTCATTTCAGGTGGACTTCAACTCCCAGGAAGAAACTTTTAGGGAATTTAAATCAAATAATTTTTGAAGAGAGCAACTAAAGCTTCCTTGATATAATGACATCTTGGGTTTTCAGGATTTTAGAAAATGTCTAAGTATACTTCTCTAAATGAATCATAAGTGGTCCTTACTGTCCATGAGAAGGGCAGAGGAGGAAGGAGAAAGTGTCTAAGTGAAATCAAGAGTCTTGCTTTCTCATCTCAGTTCTCCCCAAGTTCAGGTGCTGAGGATGGACTGGCTTCTCAGAAGCCCAGATTTCATTTTCTTCCTCTTCCTCATCTCCCCTCTCCTTCCCGGGTGCCTCCTAGATCCAAACCACAACCCCGTGTTTGCCTGAGGTACACATAGCCAGGGCGATGATCGGGGTCTCTGAGAGAGGCATGCCCAGACACCCAACGCCTACAAGTTCAGCTAGTAAATTCAGGCGGGCTCCGACAATACTCTCAGGAGCCCAGGAAAGGCACAGGCAGACTCTTGGGGAGGCATCCTCCCTCTCTCGCCTAGGGGGAGGAAGGGACAATGTGTTCTGCTACCCCAGTCTGGTTCAGAAGGACCTAAAGGGTAGGAGGTTCAAGACCTCTCATCTCCTCTCCCCTTGAACCACCTTACCCCAGAAGGTCCTTAATGTGAACTTGATGCAGTCTCTGGATCTCCTTCGGATGGTGCTTTTCTTTTGTCATCCATCACTGACTGGGTGGAGAGTAGCTCCACCAGTCAAGGAAATTAGGAAATTCCAGGCAGGGTCCTGGTGGACACTGAGACTCCGCCCCCCGGCAGCCCAGTTCCCATGGGAGAGCTCCCTTCTCCTCCTGGACTGTAGCTTGGAGGAACTGCGACAACGCAGAGAATGGTGACAACATGCAAAAGATCTAGAAGGCAAAGCACAGGAGGCATACCTGGTCAGCAGCCCCTGACACTACATGTCCCAGCATCCAGCACCTCTCAGGCTCCCAGAATTGTGGGGGATCTTTTTGTTGCCACTTATTGCATACTCATTCTACACTCAACTGGTATGAGGTGGGTACTCCCATGCCCATTTTACAGTTGGGAAAACTGAGGCTCAGGGAGAGCTAGTCCCCTGCAGTATCTCGATTGGAATCCAGGTCTGATTCCAAGCCGGAATTGCATTGAACATGTCCGACTGCACTGTCGATTGCATGGAATACGCCCCCAATGGAGTTTGTCTAATGAGTAAAAGTCTCAGAGATCTTCAGCCTCAGACACAAGTGGCCTGAGCCTGCCAGCCCTAGGGAGAGGAGTGTGTAGAGTGCTGAGCCTTCGCCTCGCTGAGGAGGCTTTGCCTGGGCTTGGAAATTGGGAGGACAGGTTGGTCTGTCTCTTCTGCTGCTGCTGTCTTTGGAGACGACAGGCAGTGAAAAGGAGGAAAGCTTTCGCCCTAAATTTACCATAAACCGTATACCACAAACCTGGATATTCAGCAAAAAGGAAGGAAATTTTTGCGGTGCCAATTATCCCAGAGTCTTCCTCCCTTTCGGGAAAGTCGCTTCACCACTTCTGGAGCTGAGCCACCCACCACCACAACCACCATAGCGGTTTCCTTCTTAGGTTCACACGGGTTCCTCATTTCCCTGGGTGAGGTCGTCAGGGCTGACTCTCATGCCAGCCACTACTCCAGACTTTGTTCCTACAACTGACGATTGCCAGAATCCGGGCATCAGGTCCAGGCTCCTCACTTGGGAAAAGAGGAAACGGAGGCACAGAGGGCCTGGCTGGGTTCCCTAGCATATTAGAGGTCGGCAGCACTGCGGTCAGCGTCAGAACCATGCTGCCCCACCCCAATCCTAACGCCAGGTCCGCATCTCCACACAGCTTCTGCAGTCTTCGCTTCTTCTCTCTCTCTGTCATCTCTTGGGACAGTGGTTTATTCCCATCCAGCACCTGCAGGAATTTGTGAAGCTCCTGCTGCAGTGTAAACTGACCTTCAACCCCAGCACTGGGCTTTATTTATTGAAACTACTTCTCTTGGCGGGGGTGTAGGGAGAGGTTCATGAGGAGGTCAGTGGAGACCAGCAATTCACAATGGAAGGTATTTTGGCGGGAGGAGGCCAGTGGGGTGAGAAGAGTGGGATCCATGCCACCAACTGCATCCTCAAGCATTTGAAAGAAAACAAATCTACACCAGATCTGCTAAAACTCGAAACCTGAGTCTCTAAGGTGGGTGAGGCTTGATCCAAGTTCCGACCCCCTCTCCCCCACCGCGGTGACTGGGGCAGGGGTAAGGTGCAGTTTGGAGAAGAGGACCTGAAAGCAGGAAGGTTGGGGTGCAGATCCTCCGCCGCATCGGAGCCACGGCTGAACCGTGGGTTCAGTGGGTTCATCCACCCGGTGGGACAGTGGGGGTGGGAGGAACATCGAGGACACCAGATGCGGCGGAGGATCGCACAGCCTTGTGCCTTCTCGAGTGATAGCAGCCCAGAAGAGGAGGTAGGCATATTTACTCTTGTAACGTCTCCCCCAACTCCTGCTTTCGTGGCAAATAAAATTTAAGGATGAAAAAATGACACGAGAGGTCTCCAGTTATTACCTTGCCACAACACTGCAGGTTCTGAGATTGGTGGTCCTGTAAGGAAATCATTACATTACACATGGCAAGTGTGTAGACTAAAATACTTTGTATCTTATGTAGAATAAAATACTTTGTATCTTATGTAGAATAAAACACTCTGTATCTTATGATATAAGACAGAGAGGCAATTAAGGTCAACGCCTGGTAGTTTCAAGTGCGCTGTCTCCGCCACGGCCAGCTAAGAGGCCGGTACCGAGGAAGATCACTTCTGTGACACTCGGTGCGCAAACCTGCCCTGCGGGCGCGCAGAGCCCCAGGCGCCCCCAAGAGCAGGGGCCCCAACGGACACTCAGCGCGCTCTAAGCCGGGTGCGCAGCCTCGGACTAATAGAGAGCTCTAGTGCAAGGCTTTTCCTTCTCACTACGTGGGCTCGGCTTTATTTGTTTGCCAATTTAAACATATTATTTAAACACCGATGTTTCCTTTCCAGCTCCTAGTGAAAAGTGTTGCCTGACAGAAAATTCGTGGGGTTCTTCAACTTTTAGTCAATATCTGCTATTGAAAGGTGTGGATGCTGCCTTTCTACAGCGAGGAAAAGTGAAATGTTTGATTTTGGGTCACACGTTGACCACCCTATATGGGCAAAGCGAGCTGCTGATTCTGCCCACGTCCAGGTGCCCAGGAAAGGGAGCATTTATTTGTTATGCCACCCGATTATACTGCTTAAAATCAGGCATTGATGACAGGGTAAGAGCCAGACCCAATGGGTTTGGAAGCTCAAGGTTCTCAGGTGTCTGAGACCCTGTTCGCTGTGCCAGGGCATCTTTCCCATCCAATTCTTCACTCAGTCCATCGGCCCATTCATTCCACAAAACCTTTGTTTTCCTAGTGCACCTAGCTGAATCAAGTCCCTCAGATCCTCTCACTTGGGGACTTTGGATGTGATGGATATGGTTTCTAGACTCAGGAATTCTTCCCTGATTGAAGCTAACCTGGCCAGTCTCAGGGATGGGCTAGTTAGTTGACTGACTCAACAAATCTTTATTCAAAGTCTACTATGCTACAGGCTTTGCTCTGGCAGCAGGAGACACAGCAGTGCCTGCCCTCAAGGAGCTACTAGACCAGTAAGGGAGAGAAAAAAAATGAAAAATAAACAAATAGAATTTGCTGTCGATGTGTGATAAGAACCTGGCAAGGCATCCAGAGCAAGGTGTGGACCTAAGGAGGGCAGGGCTCAGTTGTTTGTGAAAGGCTGCAAAGTTTTTAACAGGGACTCCAGGAGGCTGCTCTGGACTTGCCACCACAGGTAGTGTCCAGTGGTGGCTGCTGCATTTGTTTACTTTGATCCATGATTCTGGTAGGCAACCAAAATTACAACATTCAGAAAGTGGTCAGAGTTCCTGCAAATCTTGCTAGTAACCCAGCAAAAGCAAATGCTGCCAAGGAGGCTGCTTCATAGTGTTTCTGTTTAGAAGCAAACTCACTGCAAGGTAAGCTAAGCAGTAGTTTTGCTCTGTGGTCCATAGAACAAGGAAAATCAAAAAACTTTATGCAAATGCACAACTCTTAAAACAAAACTTTCCTCTGATGTTAGCTCTTGGAATAGCTGCTGGAAGTCCCAGAAGCAGCCACCCAACAGTGCTCTCCAATCGAATTTTAAGTAATGAAGATAATCTCCCTCTAGGCATGCCAGTAAATTAGTCAGCAGTCCAAAGCATAATTTCAAAATATGGGGGGAAATCAGAAAACTGATACAATGAAAAACTTCCGGCAGAATATATTTTTATTTTCTTTCTAAGTGAAGGATATGGCATATGATTCTTATTAAAGCATCTGTTAAATAGTGCCATGTAATTTGAGGGTAATCACATATGAATAGCCAAAGCTAAACCACCAGGGACAACTGAAAGACCGTGGGAAAGCTCCTGGGTGTGTGGGGGGAGGGGCGCGAGTGGATTGGCGGGGGCTGGCCGGCCTGGGACGGAGAAGCTAAACACTGGTCGACCCTTCAGGAAGGATTTAGATTTAAGCTGCCAGCCTTGAGGCAGGAGATGAAATAGTTGACTTTTCCAAGCCCCTCGGCTTCCATCACTGCTCTGCATTAACGCGGGCTTCTGCTGATGGAGAGGAATGGAGGTCCTGACCTACCCTCGCCCAGGTTTCCAGCCTCCCAGCTCTTGCACACAGGAGCAGCAGGTGGGGAAACGCCAGGATCTCCAAGCACCCTGCCAAGTCTGTGGCACGCAGTAGGACCTCAGCTGCTCAGGTCCTTTCTGCTCTAACGGATACCTAAGAGGTGTCACGTTTCCCTCTAATTTTCCACCTCTTTGTGTGAAGCGTGCATTGCCAGTCCCTCCCCTAGGCCCCTAGCCCTAGGGGTTTTAAAGTAGAGCGGGAAAGCCCGAGGATCCTTTCAGCAGCACAGAGCAGAGACCGCGCTCCCCAGGAGGGGGATCGGCTGGATGAGGAGGGACCGGCTGGGGCTGAGCACGTCCTCCAACAGGCGCTGACCGGTGTGAACAAAAGTCAGTAACTCGGGGGCCACAACGGCGGGAGACGCGCGCGGCCGCGGGGACCCAGGTCTGGGCGGGGTCGCCATATCGGTTCCGGGGGCCTCGAGGGAGGTTTGTTCCCGTTTCCGCGAGGCCCTAGGGGGCACTTCTTCCTTCCAACGCTGTCGACTGCCCAGCAGGGGAAATCGCCCTTCTCAGTCTTTCTCATTTGAATACATGAAAATGCGAGTTGATTTTGGCAAGGCGATGCTCTCCCGTGGCCAGAGGGACGGTTTTGTCGCCCGCGGGCGAGGCCGGGTGGGGAGCAGCTCCGGCTCCGACATCCGGCTGCGGGTGAGCTAGGTCCGCGCCCGGAGCAGCTCAGAAACCCGGCGGCGCTCAGGCAGGAGTAGGGGAAAAGACAAACCCAGTGGCTGTTTTTGTTTGTTTGCTTCAATAAAATAAGTGAAAGCCCTGGGTATGTTTATGCGTTGCTTTTACACACAAAGACACACAGACACAAGCACACGCACACACAGCCGGGGTTGAGGCCCGTTACGGGTTAGGACTCTGTACAGAACTGCCTGCAAAGGCCCGTCAAGTGGTCCCAGGGCCCCTACCTACTACAGAGTTGTGAATTAATCCCTTAAAGATTTAATGATGGAACCAAGGGAGAGAGGAAGGAAGATGAGGAAGAAAAATAAAAGGAAGGCAGCGAAGGAACGGAGTTCGAACCCTGGCCAGGCCCATACTTCTCTCTCGCGGGGGACCGCAGTCTCGCGGCTCCCTGGCCCCTTCCCCAGCTCGGCGCACACATCCACCTGCGAAGGCCAGGCACACGCACGTGTGACCCCTTGTTTCCAGCGTCCCAGGCCTTCCTCACTTCTAAGCTGAGCCGTGTCCCAGTTGGGGTCGGCTTTGAACCGCGTTAACGACCACAGGTCTTAGTTTCATTGCATCCGATTCTCCCCTGCAGAAGGAGGACTTAAGCTTCTTATCTGGGTGGGGGGTGGGGGCCCGCGGAGGAACTCGAACCACTCCACACCAAGCATGGCTGGGTTGCTGAAGCCGTCACCTGACAACAACCCCGTCCAGGGAAGGGTAGGCAAGGAAAGGGGGCAGGCGAGGGACAGCCACAGAGGGAAGCCCTGGAGAGACTCGAATGGGCACCGCAGAGCCCCGCCGGCCCAGGCCCTGCTGTCTGCCAACCCTGCGGTCCTGCTAAATAGGAAGGACCCTGTCGCCGCGAGAGGCCGCCGTCTGGGCCCGGGGCCCGAGGCCCGAGGCCGCGGCCTCTCCTTCCACCTTTCGCCGTCGTCTCCCTCTGCTTCTACCTGCCTGGTGAATATCTGAGGAAGGGGCTCCCAGCCAGATCCTGCTGGGAAGTGTAAGCTGAGGCAGCCAAGCGTGGTCAAAGGACCGAGTGCCGCTCAGGTACTGCGGGACTGCGCCGGGAGCAGGCCCCACGGGTGTAGCAAGGGCAGCTTCCGGGAAGGGCGGAGCCGCTTCCTCCGCTGGCGGCTACCCGGAGTACCCGCGCACCCTACAGTCCTCACTGCCGCGGATCCCCCACTTGAGGAGCCCGCCCTCCCCGCGACCTGGACCGCCCCAAGCTGTCGCAGACCCGTCTTAAACACAGGCAAGTTTAACCCGGGACACCGCAGGAGCCGCCACGTGCCTGCCCTCGCGGGTACCCTGCCCCGAGTCCACCCATCCTCCCCACAGCTGAAGACAGGCCTGGTTTCCTCCAACGAGCAGCACAATCCTTGCAAAGCACAGTTTCCAATGGTGTAGGTGCCTATTTGGGAAAAGAGGTTGGAAAAGAGCAGGCTGCAGCCGCTGGACCTGGCTACCGACTGGCCAGCAACTCCCAGACAGCAGCATTACTTTATGTATGTATGTATGCATTTCCAAGTCAAAGACCCAACACGACCCTGCTGATTCGCTTTTAAACCTCAGGGAAAGTGACTGGCTGGCATCTGGGTACACTAGAACCTCACCTCCTAAATTTGTTAGGTATCTTGCAATGCGGCCACTGAGATGGAGAGAGGCTGGGAGCTGGACGAACGGCCATCTCTCCTTCCATCTTGGCCTCGGCTCTAAGAACCTAAATCCCTGACTGGGATGCGTGCGGAGTTCAATCCAGTATCGCCTGGCGGTGCTCCCCGGAGGCGCCTGCGGGAAAATTCAGCTTTCCCTCTCCACGACAGGAGGCGCTGTTTTCGTGGAAATCCCCCGGCTGCGAACCTGGGATCCCTGACCTGGATCAAGTCTCCGAAGCTGGCAGAGTCCATTCTGCATCACCGGTCTTGGGCTTTGAAGAAGCCTAGGAGAAATTCCGCTTCGGCCATCACGCTATGAAAAGTGGATTTTTTTTTCTTAAGTCAATTTTTTTTTTTTGAAAATATGAGACTTAGTAGGTTTGGGAAGTGGGCTAAAAGAACATTTGATATTGTAATTGACCCCCCCTTTAAGGTGACAGTGTTTTTCCCCTACTTAAAGCGCCAACTTTTTTGTGCACTATAAAAGCTATTACTATCCATAAATTGTTACTCTCGGTAGAAAATAACCTAGTCTTGCTCGGTGTTATTGAAGAGCCAAGAGGGTATTGGAGAATCACCTCCAGAAGGAACAAGGAAGCTCATTAGCACTGAAAGTCCCCCGGATCAGGCCCAGGAAGCTAAGCATCCGTATACTTTACAAATGGAACTAAAGTCAGCTACTAATGGGAACTTTGCACAAAAGAATTAGTTTCTGACACACAATTCGCAGATACATTTACACAAACTGATGGGACAACTTGCAGTCACAGGAGCAGGCTGCATTAGGGAGGGTTCCTGCCCTACTGAGTTCCAGGTGGATTTAATTTCACTCATTCCTTTCCTTATGATGTGACGTTTCTACCCCCCCACCCTTTTTGTAAAAAAAAAAAAAAAAAATGTAATCCAATGCTTTTATCTTTTTTTATTTCCTTAACTGCACATCTTCACCCTCTCTGCTCCCCTGCTGACTTAAGAGATTTGTTTGGTTCAGGGATTTAAAGTGATTCTCTTGCCAGATTTCAAGTAAAAGAGATTTAAAAGAACAAAGCACAGGGAAAAAGGTATCTGTTTGGAAGACAAGTTAAAACACATTTCTTAAAATGAGATTAATAACATTTTAAAAACTTTGCAAAACAAGAAGATTTTGCGGATTCTTAATTACTTTAGATTTTATTTTATTGTTACTTAAGGAAACCTAGTGGTTCTACAGGCAGTACAACAAACACATGGTCACAGACACTCAGAAACACACACAGTCACACATGCTCAGAAATATACAAACGGTCACACACTCAAAACACACGCACCATCTCCCAATCTATCACCAACTAATTGCCTATCACCCGGTCACTTCAGTTGTTCTCTCTCCCAGGACAAGTGGGCAACCACCACCCAGGGCCTCATGAGAGTAAAGAGACTTTGCGTTGGGAAGACTCTCCCACCGACGTCCAGGACCGATTAGGAACCAAGCGAGCCCCTGAGATCTCAGCCCGGACCCTCCGGGTCACAGACAGGACCAAGCGCCGCTGCGGGCAGTCTCGGGCTTCTGCCTGGCATCTCTTTCGCAGTGCAGATGCGTTCCCGCGCCCAGGCCCTTGCTCTCCCAGCTAACGCGCGTGTTATGGGAGATGTCCCCTCCCCCTGACCTTTTCCTATCAGAAACCAGACGGTCGTCTCCAGCTCACTCCCTGAAGCGGCTGAAGGGGGGCGGGAGGAGGAGCCCGGCAGGGGGAGGACGGCCCGACTTGGGTCCGCCTGCCCTATCACACAGACATCTGCTCTCAGTTTCTTCCTCTTTGTGGTCGCTACAGATGACAAGGGGAGAGGAGCGGACCGAGGCGGAACAAAAAAAAAAAGTTATGTCATAAAGATATAAACCGGTGCTGTGACTCACCTGCTCTTAGCCGCAGGTACGAGTTTCGTGGCAGCGCCTCCGCTCTGCTAGCCCGGGGCCCGGGTCGGCCTAACGTCACTTGGCTCGGCTGACTCAGATGACCCGGTTTCTAGTGACGAAGCAAAAGTGGGGCTTTTTCCCTTTTCTAGTCTGAAGCTCTCAGGAGGAAAGAAAAAAAAAAGTCTGTATTCTCCAGTCTCCCGGGGTTGAACTTTGGGTCAGGAATCAGGAGGGAGGAAGCAAAGAGCAGGAGGGGCGCGAGACTGGGCCGCAGCCCGCGCTCGGAAGGTGGCGTGTACCTCTGGGGAGGGACCCCGGGGTCAGTTATCCCACAAGGTCTCTAAGCCCAGTCTCCGACGCCACCGCCCCCGGCCTTCTCCGGCTGCGAGGTTCCGATCCAGAGCCCTAGCCCGCCCGCCCGCCTGGCCCCGCCTATTTTTTCTTTTTCCAAAGGGGGTTACACCCCCTCCCTCCCCATTTCCCTCTTTCCCTAGCCTCCGGGCCTAAACCAATTACACTGCTTTGCAAACAAAGTGAGGGCCCCGCTTGGGGGAGGGGTCGCGGGGGAGGGGTCGCGCGCAGCGGTGAAGCGGCGGGGCGGGAGGCGCGGCGGCCGGACTGGCGGGCGGCCGCCTTGCAGGTGCACCTCGGGCTTTGTAGGTGCGAGCGTCTTTGTGCGGCGGACAAATGGGGAGAGGACGAGGAGGTGGGCACTCAAGCGACGTAAGATCCACATCAGCTCAACTGCACTTGCCTCGCAGAGGCAGCCCGCTCACTTCCCGCGGAGGCGCTCCCCGGCGCCGCGCTCCGCGGCAGCCGCCTGCCCCCGGCGCTGCCCCCGCCCGCCGCGCCGCCGCCGCCGCCGCGCACGCCGCGCCCCGCAGCTCTGGGCTTCCTCTTCGCCCGGGTGGCGTTGGGCCCGCGCGGGCGCTCGGGTGACTGCAGCTGCTCAGCTCCCCTCCCCCGCCCCGCGCCGCGCGGCCGCCCGTCGCTTCGCACAGGGCTGGATGGTTGTATTGGGCAGGGTGGCTCCAGGATGTTAGGAACTGTGAAGATGGAAGGGCATGAAACCAGCGACTGGAACAGCTACTACGCAGACACGCAGGAGGTGAGAGGCAAGGCGAGGCGGGCGGCCGGTGGGGCGCCGCTGGAGCCCGTGCCGGGGGAGGCCGGGGAGCGGTGGGCGCCAGGCAAGGCAGGCAGGCGGGCCGGGGGCGCCTTCTCGGTGCCACCGCTGCCCGCCCGCCGGTGTGGCCCCGGCCGGGCCTTGGCCGGGCCTGGAAGCGGGACCTGCTGCCCTGCTCTGTCCCGACTCTCGCAGCCGGAGAGGGAGTTTTAGGAAACTCCGGGCTTTGAAAACAGCGGCTCTAGGAAGCGCTTGCCTCTTCCCAGCAGCGAGCGGGAGCAGGAGCCGGGCCCGGGGTGCAGCGGGCGGGCGAGCGCCGGTGCGAGTTGGAAGCAACTCTGAGAAAGCCGGAGCATACCCACAAGGCGACCTCTTCGTCCCACCGTTTAATTCGCAGACGTCTTCTGATTAAAGCGCTCTGCCGCCAAGTTGGGTGTCTCAATAATGAAACGATTTCTAAATTTTGTAAAACTTGTTCTTCAAAAGCCCTATTTGGGGAGAAGTGTGCTCCTTCTCTAAAACCGCTGGGTGGCGCTAGTGCGACCAAAATCTTCTTCACAACTCTGGGCCGAGAACCTGTTTCTCTTCATTGTCCCCTTGGTGGCACGTTCATGGGGGTTATTTTTACAATGTGCACAAAAGGATTACAGGGAAAACCAGTTACAGGGAGGACTACCACCTATTAAAAGTATTTTTCTGGAAACAGCTGGCGATTACCCTCCAAAAGTTTAATTACCATTATTGAAAACGCGTATTGGAACTGCCTTGGATAATCTTGGGAAGAGGGAAAGAAAATAAAGCCCCAAGGTAAAAAATACTTTTAAGACGTGGACAGAAAAATATAGGATCACGTAATATTTTGATGGTAACTGACTTATTTAGATTTATGTATTCACAAGTTTACCTCTGAGTTTATTTGCATACCATAGTTTACTGGGTGTTCCTATTTAAATCTATTTGTTCTCATATTTTCAAATTGAGTCATACTTGCTGATTAAAATAAACTTAAGGACATCATTATTCCTTATTAAATTACCAGAGGAGTGCTTTTTAATATGCCTAGGTTTTGTATGTTTAAAATACTGTACCTAATGCATTCCCACATCGCTATTGATAAGGATTTTCGCTTGTTGATGATTTTAAAAGGAGCTCAGAGGTCTTCCAGAGATTTAATTCTGACGCAGTCATCTCGACCCCACCATTCAATTAAGACCCCTAGCGAAAGTACTTTCTTACATGTTAAAGCTGAGAATTAGGAAATACAATAGCATTAAGAGAAAATAAGTAGAATTTGATTTTCGAATTTTAAATTATTCAAGACTACTCACGGAATCTCAAAGCCAGGCGTTGAAATCATCGGCAGCAACATCAGCATGTGAAAAAAAAAAAAGATTTATTTTGACAAACTGTGTCACCAAATTTTTCAAACAGGGGACTGTAAAGTGGTGACAAAATTAATGCGAGTTTCTAAATAGCTTGCAAAGGTGTACATGTAAAGTCATGTTAAAATAAAATGCATATAGCACTTTGAGATTATTATAGCACCCCCTCCCAGCCCTTTCTGTTATGGATCTACTTTTAGTTTTATTTTTCCAAAACTTATTTAACTCTGAGTTTGCTTCCCTTTTAACATTACAGTTGCTACAAGCAGGTAGAAAACACTACTTCTAAATACAATAAACAACAAAAAGTCACCATAGGCAAAAACCCCTAGGACAATAAAGCCACTTGTTGGGAAACAGATGATTCAGGGGGTCCCATGTCCATAGGTGATTTGCTCTATCAACGATTTCCCCCCAAAGGGCGCTTTGCCGAGGCTGGTTGGGGTGGAGACTTGGGATACCGCCTGGCGTGGATGGAGGAGGCGATGAGGGGGCCCTGGAAGCCAGCCCCTGAGCCTGGCGTGTAAGGCGATTACACATCTTCCTGGGGTCATATTTTCTGTGAGCGTTTATCTTTCATGCCTGCCGCGCTAGGATTTTCCCCCTGCCGTGCAAGACATCTTTGCTCGGTCTGGGGAGGGCGCTTAGCCATTTGCCCCGGGTGGGGGCGTCCCGTGTTCTGCAAAGTGCTCTGCACTTGCCCCCGGGTTAGGTCCCGGACGGCCGCCCTCCAGTGCCCACCACTAACCCCGCCCTCCGGGGCTTCTTCACTCGCTGTCTCCACTCCAGGCCTACTCCTCCGTCCCGGTCAGCAACATGAACTCAGGCCTGGGCTCCATGAACTCCATGAACACCTACATGACCATGAACACCATGACTACGAGCGGCAACATGACCCCGGCGTCCTTCAACATGTCCTATGCCAACCCGGGCCTAGGGGCCGGCCTGAGTCCCGGCGCAGTAGCCGGCATGCCGGGGGGCTCGGCGGGCGCCATGAACAGCATGACTGCGGCCGGCGTGACGGCCATGGGTACGGCGCTGAGCCCGAGCGGCATGGGCGCCATGGGTGCGCAGCAGGCGGCCTCCATGAATGGCCTGGGCCCCTACGCGGCCGCCATGAACCCGTGCATGAGCCCCATGGCGTACGCGCCGTCCAACCTGGGCCGCAGCCGCGCGGGCGGCGGCGGCGACGCCAAGACGTTCAAGCGCAGCTACCCGCACGCCAAGCCGCCCTACTCGTACATCTCGCTCATCACCATGGCCATCCAGCAGGCGCCCAGCAAGATGCTCACGCTGAGCGAGATCTACCAGTGGATCATGGACCTCTTCCCCTATTACCGGCAGAACCAGCAGCGCTGGCAGAACTCCATCCGCCACTCGCTGTCCTTCAATGACTGCTTCGTCAAGGTGGCACGCTCCCCGGACAAGCCGGGCAAGGGCTCCTACTGGACGCTGCACCCGGACTCCGGCAACATGTTCGAGAACGGCTGCTACTTGCGCCGCCAGAAGCGCTTCAAGTGCGAGAAGCAGCCGGGGGCCGGCGGCGGGGGCGGGAGCGGAAGCGGGGGCAGCGGCGCCAAGGGCGGCCCTGAGAGCCGCAAGGACCCCTCTGGCGCCTCTAACCCCAGCGCCGACTCGCCCCTCCATCGGGGTGTGCACGGGAAGACCGGCCAGCTAGAGGGCGCGCCGGCCCCCGGGCCCGCCGCCAGCCCCCAGACTCTGGACCACAGTGGGGCGACGGCGACAGGGGGCGCCTCGGAGTTGAAGACTCCAGCCTCCTCAACTGCGCCCCCCATAAGCTCCGGGCCCGGGGCGCTGGCCTCTGTGCCCGCCTCTCACCCGGCACACGGCTTGGCACCCCACGAGTCCCAGCTGCACCTGAAAGGGGACCCCCACTACTCCTTCAACCACCCGTTCTCCATCAACAACCTCATGTCCTCCTCGGAGCAGCAGCATAAGCTGGACTTCAAGGCATACGAACAGGCACTGCAATACTCGCCTTACGGCTCTACGTTGCCCGCCAGCCTGCCTCTAGGCAGCGCCTCGGTGACCACCAGGAGCCCCATCGAGCCCTCAGCCCTGGAGCCGGCGTACTACCAAGGTGTGTATTCCAGACCCGTCCTAAACACTTCCTAGCTCCCGGGACTGGGGGGTTTGTCTGGCATAGCCATGCTGGTAGCAAGAGAGAAAAAATCAACAGCAAACAAAACCACACAAACCAAACCGTCAACAGCATAATAAAATCCCAACAACTATTTTTATTTCATTTTTCATGCACAACCTTTCCCCCAGTGCAAAAGACTGTTACTTTATTATTGTATTCAAAATTCATTGTGTATATTACTACAAAGACAACCCCAAACCAATTTTTTTCCTGCGAAGTTTAATGATCCACAAGTGTATATATGAAATTCTCCTCCTTCCTTGCCCCCCTCTCTTTCTTCCCTCTTTCCCCTCCAGACATTCTAGTTTGTGGAGGGTTATTTAAAAAAACAAAAAAGGAAGATGGTCAAGTTTGTAAAATATTTGTTTGTGCTTTTTCCCCCTCCTTACCTGACCCCCTACGAGTTTACAGGTCTGTGGCAATACTCTTAACCATAAGAATTGAAATGGTGAAGAAACAAGTATACACTAGAGGCTCTTAAAAGTATTGAAAGACAATACTGCTGTTATATAGCAAGACATAAACAGATTATAAACATCAGAGCCATTTGCTTCTCAGTTTACATTTCTGATACATGCAGATAGCAGATGTCTTTAAATGAAATACATGTATATTGTGTATGGACTTAATTATGCACATGCTCAGATGTGTAGACATCCTCCGTATATTTACATAACATATAGAGGTAATAGATAGGTGATATACATGATACATTCTCAAGAGTTGCTTGACCGAAAGTTACAAGGACCCCAACCCCTTTGTCCTCTCTACCCACAGATGGCCCTGGGAATCAATTCCTCAGGAATTGCCCTCAAGAACTCTGCTTCTTGCTTTGCAGAGTGCCATGGTCATGTCATTCTGAGGTCACATAACACATAAAATTAGTTTCTATGAGTGTATACCATTTAAAGAATTTTTTTTTCAGTAAAAGGGAATATTACAATGTTGGAGGAGAGATAAGTTATAGGGAGCTGGATTTCAAAACGTGGTCCAAGATTCAAAAATCCTATTGATAGTGGCCATTTTAATCATTGCCATCGTGTGCTTGTTTCATCCAGTGTTATGCACTTTCCACAGTTGGACATGGTGTTAGTATAGCCAGACGGGTTTCATTATTATTTCTCTTTGCTTTCTCAATGTTAATTTATTGCATGGTTTATTCTTTTTCTTTACAGCTGAAATTGCTTTAAATGATGGTTAAAATTACAAATTAAATTGTTAATTTTTATCAATGTGATTGTAATTAAAAATATTTTGATTTAAATAACAAAAATAATACCAGATTTTAAGCCGTGGAAAATGTTCTTGATCATTTGCAGTTAAGGACTTTAAATAAATCAAATGTTAACAAAAGAGCATTTCTGTTATTTTTTTTCACTTAACTAAATCCGAAGTGAATATTTCTGAATACGATATTTTTCAAATTCTAGAACTGAATATAAATGACAAAAATGAAAATAAAATTGTTTTGTCTGTTGTTATAATGAATGTGTAGCTAGTAAAAAGGAGTGAAAGAAATTCAAGTAAAGTGTATAAGTTGATTTAATATTCCAAGAGTTGAGATTTTTAAGATTCTTTATTCCCAGTGATGTTTACTTCATTTTTTTTTTTTTTTTTGACACCGGCTTAAGCCTTCTGTGTTTCCTTTGAGCCTTTTCACTACAAAATCAAATATTAATTTAACTACCTTTCCTCCTTCCCCAATGTATCACTTTTCTTTATCTGAGAATTCTTCCAATGAAAATAAAATATCAGCTGTGGCTGATAGAATTAAGTTGTGTCCAACGGAGACTCATGAACTCTCTTCTCATTAAAAGAGAAACGAAACTTAGCCATCAGGGTAGCTCTGGAGGAGGTGGGAGGAGGGGAGTTAATTCACTCTCGCAGGGGAAGCGTTGTACCGACAGGACATTTTAGGGTAGCCGCTATTTTGCATTTTGTGAAGATTGTTTTAAATTTTGATTCAAAAATGTCGTTCCTAAGAACTTAAAGTTGATAATTTGTTTCCTTCTAAGGAGCTTTTAAATGCAACTTCACACTCCATAGTTGCTTGGGATCACAAAATCATTAATCTCCTTTGATAGCAGGCTCACTTTCCAGTCCACCTATTTCTTTGTAAGTCTTGTTCGGATTGACATCAACAATAACAACACCAGCTCAAGCAGAGGCCTGCCTGCCTGAGCCCTTGTGTATGAACTCCATCCTCACCAGGGCTTGAACTTGGACAGCCTTTACTTTGATCGCCCCACTCCACACCGCGGACAAGATAAAAAGAGCCGTGTGAGTCGCTTAATTATCGCGTAATTGCCTCCCCAGATGAGAGAAAGGGTGCCATGTAGCACTTGAAAAAATCCAGAAATCCCAAACCCCCACTCACTTCAGTTAATGAAAGGAGGAGGGGAGGGAAATTACTGGTTTGAATAATTTCAAACCCTAATTTGGAGACCTCGGAAGGACATCAAAGTCCCAAAGAGAGGAAAAAGCTTCCAATCCCAACAGTTACTCTTATTTACATAAGGTAAACAAATTCAGCTTCCAAATGTAATATAAAGGCGTGGGCTTGGGCCTCGGAATCCCGCCCCCACTGAATCTAAGATGTTTAACTTCTGTGCTGTCCTCTCTGTGATGTTCCCTTTCTCCTTTTCAACGTATTAGAAACATCAGCGCCTTGCCTTCACCCCACCAAGCTTAAGTTGGCCTTAGCTCTCGCTCTGTTACTTGCCGGAGACATTTTCTAGTTATGCGGGGGACGGGGGCACTTTGGAGACCTGCCTCGGGAGCTGGACCGCGGGGAGCCTGCAGGCCCAGCCCCTGCTTTGTGGGCTTCTCGCAGTTCTCAGACCGCACACTCCGCCACCTCTGGGTGATGCGACCTGCCACCCGCGCGTTAGGACGCGCGCGGGTTGGCGGCCAGGACAGCTGGTTGCCAGGGAAGGCGGACAGAGCAGGACAGCAAGCGTCTCGAGGTGACAAGTGCAGATAGTTCTTCATTGTTTGGGCATTTTCCCTTCCTAGCGAATAAATCTCCTGTTGAGCCCGGGACCTAAAAGTCAACAAAGAAGGCCAGCCGCCTCGTTACGGCTCCTGCGGCCCCGGCGGCCCGCGTTGCCGCGGCTGCTCCCGCTGCGTAATCCCTTCCTCGGAAACCCGGACACACAAACACCCGGGCGCCCGGGCTGGGGCGCCGCGCCCCTGGGTCAGGAAGAAAACATCTGTGGTTCCGAGGGAGTGCGGAGACCCTGCCTGAGGGCGCCGCCTTCCTGCGACCCCCACCCCATCCCCTTTTCGTCTGGGTGTTTCCACATTTCTTCACCTCGCCAGCTCCCGAAGACCAGGGCCGGAAAGGGGCTGCTGACCGTCCCGCCGCGGTGCTCCTGCTCGCTGGTCTTAGGAATTTCGCCCGAGATGGGGGAGGGGTCCCCGGGGAGGGGAGGGAGGGGGCGAAGAGGGGCGAGGAGGGAAAGCCTTCCTCCTGACCCAAGTGTACAGCTCCGGTGGCGCTCGGACCCACCAACGCTACCGAGCAAACATTTTTACAAAAAAGAAAAAAACAAATGTTTTGGGAGTGAGCATAGGACAGGGGAGGGGAGCTGCAATTGTTACTCTCACCTTGCATTTAGGAAGGGCAGGTATGAAACATTTTTAAGGTGACAAAAACAGAACCAAAGATAGGGAAGAAGAAAAGCTCACCAGTTCTATTCAGCAAAAACTAAACAACTCACAGGTGTTCGGAAGTAGAAGGCAGTTCCGTCCATTTTCTACATGATGGCTAATACAGTGTTTACATCAAAGGCAAAATTTAATTTCCATTGTCCCTTTGTGATCCCCCTCATACAGGATAAACTGATGAGAATTATTAGGGAAGGAGGGATTAAAACAAACAAGATCCTAGTAAAGCTCCCAACCTCTGTTTTCATTTTCTGAAGGCTAGATACCTAATTGATTTCACTGAAAGCATAAAAACATTATATTTCTTAGAAGTCTAACAGATTTGAACGAGCCATAACAGAAAAGAAGTCCTGAAGTGATAAAAATGTAAGCCCTTGTTTTGGCATTTTAAAAAATTGGTCTCAATTCCACAAACATGCTTAAGTTTCTTTGCAAAAAACTGCCGAGATCAATACAAATTCCTTCCAATGCTGGCCAAAGTAGAAGACCTGTCACCCAAATTAATTAACCTTTCCTCAAGATCAATTGGTTTTCTGTTGATTTAGCAGTAATATTGTAGAACATTTAGCTATAATGTATTTTAATGTGATCCCTCAATGTCAACAGGAAAAAATTCGTTGAAAAATAAAATAGCTTAAATAAGTTAGTAGACATTTTATACCTTTGTAGGAAATATTTTGCCTTCAAAAATTAAATACCAATTGTTTATTTGAATTGTAATAAAGTGTGTTTTGCAACTAAATGGAGTTAAGAGCATGCCTAATTACTCCAAGATAGTTATATGCAAAAAGATGATTGTTTTAAAGATATCTAGAACTAAATAGGTAATCAAATTATGCTGAAATTTAAAAACAAAATTTTCTCAAACTGAAAGAATCGTTAGAATCAATAGATTCTCATGAGAGTAAGAATGTAAGAAAATGAAATGAAAAAAACATGAATATTTCACAATCTTCCTGTTTATAAATAGAATTGATTTGGAAAGGTAAAGCGTTTCTTAAAGTAGCCACTTACACAAGTTTTATTTTCATGCACGATGTTAGTGTATCCAAATAACATTTAACAACAGATTACCTTAAATCTTGTGTTTTTTCTTCCAAATAGCTAAGTTTGGGGGCATAATAATTCCATTGGTTTTTCTTTTAGCCCCAGCCCAGCATGGTTCTTTGAACTTTGGCCAGCTAGGACTGCAGCCCTCACCTTTTTGTTCTCCACCATCATTTTACCAAGCAATCTGGGGCTGGAAAATACCCATGCCATTCAATTTTAACTTGTAAAATGCATGAATTTTCCTGTTATAAACATTTTAAAACACCTGACAAGGGGGAAATCCTCACTTGCCACCTTTCTTTTTCTATTTAACTTCCTTATTTCTCCAATTATGTTAGCTGTGACTACAGTGTAAGAGCAAAGCACATGGTGAGAGTGAGCACTCCTCCCCCTTGCAGTCCCGGGAAATAAGGAGCCCTCCTTTTTCTGGGTGCCACTCCGTGATCTTTTGGGGTTCTCTATGTTCCAGTCAACCTAAAGGACAGAGGCAAGATATTCTCCCTCAAAATCCAGGAAGGAAAGGGCTTAAGTAGAATCGTGCTCGAATACATCAGAATCCAGGTGGAATGCGGGTCAAGTCACTGGCGAAATCAAGAACCAGGCCAGTGACACCAACGGCAGGCCTGACTCAGAATTTAAGTGTGAGGTTGCCTTGGTTTAACTTTTTACGTCTCTCAACTCCCCTTCAAGATTACACATCAGGGGCTTTTTCTTTTCTCTTTATTTAATTTCTGAAACCAAGGAAAAAAACAACCTGGAAATTCCCCCCAAAGCATTGCTATTGCCTGCAAATTGGGAACAATGAATTAAATTGGAAACCTCCTTAGCCAATCCCCCCGCCCCCCCCCCCAACACACACACACTTTTAAAAAGGAGTACATTTGTTATTCTTTTGCTTGCCTGCTCATATCCCGGGTCAGTTTTCTGGTTTCTCTCTCTTACGCCAAAGATTGTTTTAAAACACAAACAATTTAATGAAAAGACTTTAAGGAGCTCTGCGGCGGTTTGTATCCTTTGTATATTTAATTTTAAGGGCCCATTATGCACCAGGGAGGAAGTAGGCGCCCTCCTAGTCCCGTGCTCCTGGAAAGCGGAATTTCTTTGCATGATTCAGGTGACTAGGATATTATTGGAACGTTCCCCTAGCTCTGGGTCCCACTTGGGGGCTTTGTGCTTCACTACCGCAGTCCAGCTATACACCCGTAACCCAACAGCGGCTCAACCCTGGGCGCCAACTACCGCTGCGTCCTCCGCCGCTTTTCGCAGGTGGAGGCCGATTCATGAGCTCAAGCCGCAATGAGCCGTATTGTAGCGCAGGGCCTCGTCCAGGTTTCCTCGCCTCTCCCAGGAGTCACACCGCCTTCTGCTGACACGCGCTTCCTTTGTGTCATGCCTGGCTAATATATTAATGGGGCGGATAACCCGGATCCTTAGCGGAGGGGAGGAGGGGGTTGGAGATGGGGAGGGCAGGGAAGGGAACCGAACAGCTCTGGTTGCTGACCCTTGGGCCAAAGAGCCCTGGGGCGGACCAGGAGTGGGGGAGCGAATCGAGGTGGGGAAAGTTCACATTGGGGGCACTGAAAGTAAACTTAAATGCCTGAAACAAGTTTTAGAAAAGGTGACCTGATGCTAATGCTCGGTCCTGGGCACAAACTGCGCAGCCAGACGCCGCGGACGCCGGAGAAACTGCCCCTCTGGCGGAGCGGGCCGCGCTCCTGCAGCGAAGTGTCCGCCCCCACTACCCCACCCCGGGCCGAGAGCTCCGCCGCGCTGCGCTATGTGCGGAGTCACGGGTGAAAAGTCCTAACTACGTGTCGCACGAAGGCCTCTTGACGAGTGCACACCTTCACGGACTCAGACTCATTAATCTCTAGCTGAGCCAGTTACCTTAGATGCTGGGTTCCAGTGCTTAAAAATAAAGACCAGCCCGCTCCTTGCCCTCAAGGAGAAGCCAGCTTTTCCCACCCTCACCCCCAAAGAATTGTGCGGCCTCCCAGTCGGACTCATCAGCCACACAGGTGGATCTCCTGCGCTACGCCAGGTGGGCGGGAGGAACGGCAGATCCCTGGCCGGAGGCCTGAAGCCCAAAGGTCCCCGCCGCCGGGTGCCGGCCTCATTCCAGCCCCGGCCTCCCGGGCGGAACCCCCTCCCCACCGGGCCCTGGGCCCCACCCGCCAGACGGTGCCCGGGTGCCCCGAGACATATGCTGCCCGCAGGCCGCGCGGCCCGACGGAGTGCTCACTGCCGAGGCGGTTCTCAGCCCATCAAAAGCCCAGGCTTTCTTCAGCCGTATGGGCCGCGAGGTGAACAACAATGCCCGGGCCCCTTCACTTCAAAAGCAGCGATCAGGGGAAAGGCTCCCCCAGAGAATTTTTTTTTCCCCTCAGCCTTTCATTCCTGGTTTGAAAAAAAAAAAAAAAAAGGCATCAGCAACTCCAGGCCCCGGGCGAGCCTAATGCCCTTTGATGGGGATTGAATTCATTATCTCCAATAACACAATTGTGCTTGGCCAACGAAAAGAGCAAAGCAGGGCTCTATCCCGCCGGAGGGGCCCGGCCGGGCGGGGCTGGCAGGCGAGCAGTGCTCCTGGGGACCCGCACACAGGCGCAGTCCTGGCCCGCCCGGCCCGCTGCGACGCCCCCTGGGCTCGGGGGGGCGCGGGCACGCCCGAGGCTGCAGGACCAGTGGCGCCGCCCGCCAGGACCGGGCGAGGAGGGGCGGGACGGCTCTCTTGTCTGATTTATTTTTCGTTTCTCCCTTCGCAACCATCCCCCGAGGGCTGCCCCCGCAGAATGGGTATTTACTCTCCTCCCTCCCGGCCTCCAGCTGGGAAGCCATCCCTGGTGCCCGGGGCGCGCTGGGCAGAAGGGCCGCCCTGCGCCCCTGGCTGAGCACGCAGGGCTCTCAGCATCCCGGCCGCGCCGCCCAACCCCGGCGCGGAGCTGGCTGTACCCGCAACCTGGCAAGGAAAAACTGGGCCCCCTCTCGCTTCCACGCCAGCCATTGCGGAAAAGCGCCCCAGGAACCTGGGCGGGGACCGCGGGACACCAGGTCCCGCCCCCGGGTGCAGGGATCTGGACGCGGGGCTTGATGCCTGGTCCCCTCGGCTTCCGGGCCTGTGGACACTGCCTGGGACCGCCACCTGACACGAATGTCGCCTCCTCCCGGGTTTCACCGCCATCCCTGCCCTTTCAGCCACCTCCAGCCCCCGCCTTCTCTGCCCTCTTGATTGTACGGAGGTGGAGGTGAAAACCCACTAAGACACTGCGGGTCTTGACCTCGTGTGTGTGTGTGTGTGTGTGTGTGTGTGTGTGTGTGTGAGAGAGAGAGAGAGAGACAGAGAGAGAGAGAGAGAGAGAGAGGAGAGGGGGGAGAGGGAGAGAGAGAGAAGAGGGAAAGAGAGAGATTATATTTTGAATTTCTCAGACTCATGATCAAAGAAGACTTCATAGCCTGTTGTCTTATTAAATTGCAGTTCAAGGCATTACTGAGATGCTTCCTACACAACCTTACTCCCCCTCTTCACCCCCATTACTGGGGAAAGTTCGGACTGAAGTTTTATTTCAGTCAGATAAATAATAATAATAATAACAATTTAAAGTACTTTAAACAAACAGAAGACTTATTGAAATGCTCTGCGGTAGTAACTGTGGATTGGTCGTTCCTCACTAATGAGTCATGACTATCCCAACCTCCAAGCAATGGACTCTTCACCTTTCTCTTCAGAGAATTAGAGCCAGCACACACATGCTGTAGGAGGTATATAGACAGGTAGATAGCTATATATATATATTCACACAAATTGATATAGCGACTTAGAGGAGCATCCACAAGAACTTCCTATCTATACAACTGTCCTGAAAGCAAGGAAGCAAGAAATTGAGTAATATGCTGATTTGAGGTCAACCGAGAGAAGTGTTTCAGATTTGACTTTCAGAGAGGCATTATTTTCATCAGGAGATACAGGGATTAATTATTTAATTCTCTTCAGCATAGAGTAACCTTTACAAATTTAACCCATTGACTCTGACTACAACCTTCAATGTTTAGGCCTCAGCACTGGGGGTTCCTCTCCAGTACGTAAGATTAAAAGACTTCAGTTCTTGGCTCCAGGCTTTCTTTCTTCCCCTTTGTCTTATAGAGCAGCATCCTGAATGTAATTTATATTAAAATATATATTGACTTTTGTGAAGTCTTTTTAGTTTTCATTTACCTCAGAAAGGATGTAAAACATTTACCTTGCAGATATTTTGAGTGTCTAATAAAGAAGTGTATGGGAAATTCTATTCTTTAGATGAGTTTTAAACTCTGGATTCTACAGGTTGTCAAAAAATGAATGAATTCTCTTTTGGACCCTTAGCCTATTTTTTATTAACTTATTAAAAATAGGTTTGAATCTTGGTGGCTGGTTCATTTACATTGTGGTGACTTACTTCAGTCACCTTTTATAAAATCTCTTTTGCAACATCAAGTGGAGGTTTAATCTTTGTCTTGAATTGTGCCACACATATCCCACACCTGGTGGACTGCTGCGCTTCCTTTGCATATTCATTGTCACATGCTTAGAAATACTGGGAAGAGAAAGATGTTTATACAGGGTAAAGATGAATTAGATTTTACATATTAACAATTTGAATAAGAGTTTAACATAATATGTATAATCAGAATAAGTTATATGTAGGTATAGCTATTTAAGAATTAATTTTTATGATATTTTGAGGACTTCAGAGGACTCAGGACCCAGGGTAAGAACTATTCCCTGCATAACAATATGTTCAAAACAACCACCACAAAAGCTTTAGTTCTGACATATAGTCTACCTGACCACAGAAGATAGAGGACAGGCCTGTGTTTTATCACATAAACAATTTATCTAGTGTCTGAGCACACATAAAGGATTATGTGGCTTCAGGTGAGCAGGGCCCCATAGGATGGATGAATTACTAAACAAAAGATACTATTATTTTCATGTAGATGTCTTAGGCCATGGAACAGAATTAGGAAGGAAGAAGAGGTGAAGCATTTCAACAGAAATGAAAATTCAGTATTCTCTAAAGTGCAACCCCAATGCCCATTTCAGCCTTGAATCATGAATCATGAAGCCACGGAAAATGGTGATGGAAAAGACTCTTTATGTCTTCTAGTTCACTCATCTTAAAGATTATTCTCCTCAGAATATTCCCAAGCCATGGTTTGAATAGATTTAAATGTCAAGAATTGAAGGACTCCCTTCCACTTCCTGAGTTTCTTGGAGAAATTATATTCATGGTGCAAAACATTTTGCCAACTGAGTATTTTCTTGGTTATTTATTAAGGTAAAATTGTCTTGCATTTTAAATATGCCTCTTTGAGGATCCATTTTTATTAGCTCTCAAACCTGTTTCAGATACCTGAATGCTTGTCTCTTCATTTATTCAGCCAGTCTATACACACTTACTTTATTTAGTTCCTACATAAGATTGATCCAAATAAAGTGCCCAGGTGGGAAACTTCCTTTAATATGTATTAAGCATTTGATTTTCTATTCTTAATACTGAGAGGGAAATAATAAATTTAAATCTCCAAATTCCTTTGAATGATACCAGCATTATAAATGTGAGACTTGATCCATTTGTGAGATGTCACCCAAATGCTAAGTCATGAAGCCTCTTTGCCTTTTAAGTATAATTTATGATAAGACATTACAGGACCTCAACTTCTTAAAATATGGTAAATTCTTAAATTAAAAGAAAGAAAAACTAGAAACCAATTGGGAGTTGGTTCATTGAGAATACTGTTCTTACTGGAGAGATTTCAGAGTGTTTGTTCCTTGTGACCCAGAGGTTTACATGTGTCCTATCAGGAATATATTATGTCAGAGTTTTCAACAGCAAATAGGCCAAGGCAGTTCATTATAAAACTTCCAAAGAGAAGTAAAACTTTTATATTTCAATTGCAGAGATTCAGAAGCTGGATCTGGAGCACTGCATTATGATTTGGCATCCTAGACTCAAAACCAGACTCTGGGCTCCCAATGCGCCAAAGGAGTAGCCCGCCCTCTGGACAGTGAAAAGCCAGGCCTAGGCTTAACCCTTGAGTCTGCACCTGTCTTTTACACTTCAGCATTTCCACTGAGTCAGGCAATTCGGAAGGAAATGCTCCTTTAGTTTGACAGATAATTCACTTTAGAAGTATAACCATAGCAAGAACAGACTGTGAGGTAAGCAGAGAGAGAGGAAATGAGAAATATTGAGAAATGATCTCCACTGCATTCCATTCACCTATCTCATCTTATAAAATAGAATAGGTGAACAAGGAGAATGGGAATTGTAAGCAAAATGAAAGACTGTAAGGTCTCTGATGAGTCAAAGAGTGACATTGAGAAGTTGTGTAATAATAGTATAATTTATATACATCCATTGAATACAAGATTGCACAGATATCAGCTTTCTTCCAGTTTGCTACGGGGTATTGAGAGGGGAAAGTTCTATCCAATTCTTGATGATTCATATGATATAGCAAGTGACAGTGTTGAGTTTTATTTAATTCCCTGTACAATGATTACTACCTTAAAATATCCAAAGAGCCTTCTTAAATAAAGTAAGGTCTGCTTTTTTTTTCAGGATTTGTAGTAAACACATATTTTAAAGTCTTATGTTCACTTACAGTTGTTACCAGGTGATGCTGTTTGTGGAATAACCTGAGATTTTAACACTAAGCACAAATTAACTTTCCCAGAGTATAACAGACTCCTTCCTATTTTCATCTTACCCTCAGCAACAGAAAGAGTAGTGTAGTAGCCAACGTTCAACCTGAAATATAAAAAAATGTAGAACATAGTAAGATTCTTCTCAACTATATGCAGACCCTTACAATTGAATTTATCATTAGGGATAATAAACAATGATTACCATGCTTTGAAATAACATTTTTAAGTGTTTTTAACTCAAGCGGGTAACTTGTTTTCAAGAGGAACAGAAAACAGAGATTCCCAAGGAAATATAAGTGACGAAAAGATGAGAGAAACGGAAGTACCATAGAAGCAGCAAAAGGTATTAGGTCATGTATAGACTCACAGCCCAGGGGACTGAGGGAGTGAGAGCTGGGACAGAGGCAAATTAATAGCTGGAGAGAGCTAGACAGAGTGTGCTGAGGAAGGGCCAGGCGTGAAAAGATTTGGTGTCGTCATAGCAACGGGCTCAGCCCTGCTCCCCCTGAAGCCCATTCAGCTCTGAGCTGCCGGAACACGTTTTTAATTAAAGCGTATAAAAGTTGTTTTGTAAGGACTTCTCATCCGATAGATTTCAAAATGGTTAATCAGGCTTCATCTCCTTTTGATGCTCACAAGAGCATGGGCTATAGCATGCACAGAAACTGCTGCTGCTGCTGCCGCTAAGTGAGTTATCTCTCAATCACACCTAATACCAGGAATGAGCAAGGCGTCTATTTATTTAGATACACAAAAACAGAGGATTCCAGTGGGAGTGGGGAGTCCATTTTTATGGAACTCAGTCTTCTGGATGGCCATGGTCCCTGGTTGATGTTCTATTTAACTTTTGAAAACAGCAAGATTTTTTTTTTCCTTTGAGAGACACAGTCCAAAAGCCAAAACAAAGGTTACCAATTATTTGTATCAATGAATATTTACCCTAGGATGGGTATTTCAAATAAGAGGTTTGTACCACTCCTATATAAAAAGATGGTAACCTGTCTCATTTTTTTTGAGAAAAAAAGAACTCCCACTCCTAAATCTTTCATAAATTCATGATATACAGCAACAGTTGCATTTAACTCTTTAATAAAATAGATGACTTAATAGAAAATGGCATCTTTTGTTGATTCACTTAACAGCCTCTTAGATGAGTTAAACTTTCTCCAGGCTTTTTCATCTCCCTTTCTCCCCAGTCTTGGCTGATGACCTTGTCTCTAACTTCACTGAAAAAGAAAAAAAAAGAAAAGAAAAAGAGAGAGAGAGATGATTTTACCTGTCATCTATTTCTTCATCTACCCTTATCCCAACTGAACATTTCTACTCCTATACCAGTGTATCCTCCATAAGGTCGTGGATGAGAAGGAGTCCTGCCTGCTCTCTGAAGCAAACATACCCACCAAACGATTTTATTGAACACCAACATCAGACAAGGCCACTCTGTAACCAGAGTGAAGTGAGACAAAACCAAGAACACTTTGTAATTTTGTCTAAGCACAGATGAAAACAAGATCACTATGTAAACTACAATTATAGCAAGCATCCCCTCATCCCAGCTAATAAGAATAACTGTTGCTTATTTACAAATTACAGCTGTAGCCAAAGTCCCACTATCTTGAACTCTCCACTGAATAACCTAACACAAGCCCCAATCCTATAATGTCATTTCTAACACCCTCTTAACTGAAATGCCACACAATTCTGCATGATGTGTAGTCTCCCTTATTTGCAACAAGTTACAAACCCAACTTATTCAACTATAGATATGCCTCTAATGGTCTGGTGTGAGAATATTGACAGGCCTTTCATTCCTTTGTTTCATGGCTTGAATTATCACACAGCAAACTAAAAGTTCACCCCTGCCCTTTGAACAAAACTCCCTTCTTATTTCTATACCGGTCTGCAAGGCATTTCCATGATTATTTAATATATTTAAATTAAAGAAACACATTTCTTTCAGTAACAGGGCATCCCTCCTGACTTTTATATTTCTCTCAAACTCTTAGTCACTCAGGCTCGAAAAGTCATAGTCATCATTGATTTGTCTCTCTTCTTGCTCATATATCTCCAATTGATTAATATGCCCTGTCAATAATTCCCATTCCCAATCTCTATTTTCTGGACATTACAGAGGTCACAATTTTAGTCCAGAATACTGTCCATTATCTGTTAAAATACCCTCCAGATGCTCTTTGGCCAATTCTTGTCTGTACATCATTTCTAGCCTAATGTTCCTGAACAACAAGCTTCCAGTGAGTGCAGTTAAGTTCTAACCTCTTGAGGCCAGAGTTTTCACAGAGGTAAAATTAGAAATTATATAGGAATAACTGGCATGCTTTTCCTCCCTTAGAAAAGATAATGTCATCTTAGGCTGCATACATGAAATGGGGAAAGCAAGAATGCACTGGTCAACACGGGTCATGTTTCATATGTTAGGACTTATTCTTTGAGAACTATAGGCCAGGCATGGTGGTGGCTTACACCCTTAATCCCAGCACTTTGGGAGGCTGAAGTGGGAGGATTGCTGGAGGCCAGGAGTTCAAGACCAGCCTGGAAAACAAAGTGAGACCCTGCCTCTATAAAATTTTTTATACAATTAGCTGGGCATGGTGGCATGTGCCTAGTCCCAGCTACTCAGAGGTTGAGGCAGGAGGATCACCGAGCCAGGAGTTGGAGGCTGCAGTAAGCTATGATCATACCACTGCACTTCAGCCTGGGTGACAAGAGAGACCCTGACTCAAAAGAAACACACACACACACACACACACACACAAAGGAAAAGAAAAAAGAAAAATAGAGAAACACAGAAAAAGCAAGACCTTTAGGAGATTGTGAATATAGATGAGAGCTAAATCATGCCTTGTGAAGGATGGTTTAGAATGGGGATGTTTGGCCACAGAATAAAATCTTTCTGTTACAGTTGAAGGATATTACAGTTATTTCAAGCATATGTGAGGGAGACTAGAACCATTTATTGTATGTGAGTATAGAGGGCAGAATTAGGGCCAGAGGGTAGAAATTAGAGACTTACAGATTACAGCTCATATGAAGACATCTGTAACATGGTTTTAGATTGAGTAGGTCACCTCAGGAAATACTGAGCTTCTCAACATTGAAGCTTCAAGTGTATATGAGATGACCACTTGGATATACATTTTCCTCAAACTTATGCTTTAGTTACTTAGCTCTAATCATTCAACTTTCAATTACAATAGATATGTTTGTTTTGAATAAAATGAACTTTTTATTTCATGTATTCTATTTTTAAAATGCAGTCAATGTTCATTTGCTTTATCCCACATATTTATCCTTCCTGGTATATTCATTCTTTCCTCTGTCAGTATGATCCATCTGTGACCACCTTTCTTTTGCCTACTCGACTTCCTTTAGGATTTCTTTTAGTGAAGTTCTGCTTGTGATATTCTTTCACTTTTTGCTGGGAATTTAATTCCAGGTTGTTGCTGTTGTTTTACTTTCAGCCCTTTAAAGATGCTACTTCATTTTTTCTGGCTTCTGTTTCTCTGAGAAGACAGACTTACTCCTACTCTTTTGAAAGCCATATGTCCTTTTATTCTCTTTGTTGTTTCTTTCTTGAGTCTCTAGTAGTCTCTAGTCGTTCCAACTTCTGAGTCACCTCTGGGTCTGGTTCTGCTATTTTATCTTTTCACATAGGTCTTTTAACATTTTTAAATGTGTGTTTTTTTTAAATTAAATGCCAGGTATGTTGTATAGAAGAAAAGTAGACACTGAAGCAAATGTTCAAAGTGGGAATATCTATCCTTCCATCAAGCTATTAGCATGGGGCTATTAGTCAATTTAGTCAGCATTTGTGGTGAATTGGGTTTTGTTGTAGCCATGGTTATTTTCAGTGTGCAACAGACTTGAAATCCCTCCGGTGGTGGGCTAGGCTGCTCCTATTTTGTGCTTAATGTTAAGACCTGGAGTGCTGGAGAGTGGTTGTTGTTTTTTCCCTCTTTCCCTGCTCCATCCTTTCCATGCTTTTGTTCTTTCTCCAACAGTAGATGGCTGTTGTTACCTGTTACTAGACACAAGGCTTCTGGTGGGGGAAGGGGAGGAGTTTCTCAGTTCTCCTGCTCTCTTCTTGATTTTAGGCAAGACCTGTACACCTAAGCATCCTCCAGCAGACGATCTTTGCTTCCTATTCAGTGCAGGCTTTCTAAAACTGATAAACAATATGCTACTGAAACATGAGATTCTAAAAACATAAAAACACACAGGCAGGTTCCTTGCCCCTTCCTCCAAATTCTGCCTAGTATTGGAGTGTCTTCGGTGTGTATGAGTTTCTTGAACCTTTCTAAATGTCACCAATCTTTACCTAGGCCTAAGGCATAGGTTCTTGCCCTTCTTCCTGTGCAGACAGCTTTTGCCTCATGTTAAAGCAGGGTTAGATCCAGTGTATGGGCAGATTTCTTGCCTCTCTCCACTTGGTAGATGCTCTTTGCCTCGAATCAGTGGAGGACCCAGAGTGTAGGTGGGTTTTATACCTGTTCCTAGATGCACACCTGCTCATAGCTGTGGCCGTTCACCAACCTGTGTTCAAAAGAGGTCTGGACCTTGGGTGTGCTTCTCCAGGCACTCCTGCTCTAGCCTCAAACCTTGGCAGGCCCTGCAGAAATCTGCCATCGAAAAGAAGACTCTCTCAGGTCCCTGCTCTATCAATCTTTCTCATAAGTACCCGGTGGAGGCCCATGAAAAAGTGTTGGTGGGTGTGGGCAAACATCCTCTGTGCTCTGGGACTCCCAGGGATTCTGAAGTGTCACGCTAGTCCATGGGTACATTTATGGCTTTGTTAACATTTTCTTTCCTGCTTACCCACTTTATGGCTACCGCCTCTTTCTCCCATGCTCTACCAAAAAATGAGACAATTTGTGTGTTTCGTTTCTCCTCAGAGGGACTCATTCTTCTTTGGAATTTAATTCACCTGGTTGCTTTGTAATCTCAACTCTCTGATAGGCTAAAAAGTTATGATTTGATACATAATAATTTATTTTTCTCATTCTTAGGCAGGTGTGACACTTTCTTATGGTTTTCTACATCCTAAGTGGAAGTAGAGCTGTCTCTCTGGTTGTTTTGAAGGTTTGTCTATTTGTATTTGTTTTTTTTTTAGCTGTTTTACTATGATATGCCTAGGGGTGTGTGTGTGTGTGTGTGTGTGTGTGTGTGTGTGTGTGTGTGTGTTTAGGTTTTTAGAATCTCATGTTTCAGTAGCATATTGTTCATCAGTTTTAGAAAATTCTTGGTCAATATCTCTTCAAATGTTGATTCTATCTATCCCATTTTCCTTCTGTCCTGGGACCCCAATTACACACACCAAGTCTATTACTATGTTCTATGTATCTTTTACAATGTTTTATAGATTTTTCATCTTTTTTTCTTTCTCTTCTCCAATTTGGATATTTTCCATTGGCCTCTCTTTCGGTTCCTGAATTCCTTTTCAGGAAATTCAGTTTCTGAATTTCCTTTTCAGTTCTTGAGTTCACTTTTCTGCTAGGTCTAATCCACTAAAACCATCTATTGAATTATTAACTTAGTTCTTATATTTTTCAGTTCTAAGATTTCCGTTTAATTTTTTAAAAATTTCCATTTAAAATCCACTTTTGAGCATATTTGATTACAATGATTATAATGATTTTAAAGTCCATGTCTGATAACTGCAATATCTGAATCACACGTGGATTTGTTTCTATTTTCTGTTTTTTTGTTTGTGTTGGTTTTTGGTAATTTAGTTTTATTGTCTGCCATGCTTGATAACTTTCAGTTGAATGATAAATATTGTGTATGAAAATAGTGGGGGTTCTGGCTGATATTGTTGTTTTCTACAGAGATTTTAATTTTTTTAAGAGTTTGAGAAGATCACCTTGGTATAGTTGAGGCTAATCTAGTTATAATTTGTCCTTACTCTTATGATGTAGATTTTCCAGGTTGTGAATCAAAAGCTGAGTTTCTCCTCTTTGGTGAGACTTGCACTCCAACTTTTGTCTCCTCAGAATCATGGAACTGACAGATTCTCTCCCCAGTTTTTAATCTTCCTAATAGGTATTTTTTTACTTGTTTTTTTTTCTGTGTCTTGTCTTGAGTTTAGCCTGTTGGATATCAGAAAATGCCTTGAAGGAAAAATGCACATAGAATATTGGTTTTAGCTGTCCATAGTACTTTTCTCTAGATCTTGGCCCCTCATGTAGTAACTGCTTAATTTAACTCTGAACTCCATTTTTGGTTTCCTCAGCCCAGTACAACTGCCACAGGCTCAAGAATGCGTCATTTTTTATGCCTCTATGCCCCAAGCCTTGAATCAGCAAACATTCCAAGGCGAAATAGCTGTACTCAGAGCAGTACTCACTTCAATATGTTTTCCTTCTCTCCAGGATCTTGGTCCCTGAGGTCCTGGCTGCACTGGTTGTTCTACAGAGCTTTCAGATTTTGTTTTGTTTTGCTTTGTATTTTGTCCAAGTTTTATAGTTGTTCTCAAGTTTTATAGTTATTCTCAGTGGATGAATTCATCTGATTCTAGCAACTCTGTCATAGCCAGAAGCAGAAGACCTTTCCTTATTATATTCTAAACCTGAGTCCTTAGCCATCAAGTCTTGGCAATTCTTATAAGATCCTCTTAATTACCTGTGTTCAAGCCTCAAATTCACTTTCTTACCCATATTTTATGCATTCGCATATATTTGAGTCACAGTTATGGCAGAATTTATTTTTTGTAAACTTTGGTTGACTAGACAATTAAGATCATTTGGTTACATATTGTAATGCAGAAGAGTTGAAGATCTTGGAATTATTTCCTATTCTTTCATCTTCTATTTGCCAACAATCTTTAGCTTAAAATGTTAGTCACCTCTAGAACATTCTACATCTTCACTTCCACCAGCACAGCTTACTATCACTTTAGCTCTCTAGAACCCAGCTTAAAATCCATTTCTCAAGACTAGGAAACACAGATTAACATCATCATGAAGAGCAAATCTTCACACTTAGAATACAGATTAGTGTACAGGATTGCTATTGGAGTTTGCCCAGTTTGGATTAGATAATGCCCATAATGGAGTACTCTTACAGAGAGCAAGTTGAATACAAATTTAGTTCAAATTACTATAGTAGTTAAACAATATATAGTAATTGAACAATTAAGGGTAGTGATACACAAATCTAGGTTAATCAAAAAAGTCTCTTGGAAATGGATTACGAACTGGGTTCTAGAAAGCTGAAGTGACAGTACACTATGCTGGTGGAAGTGAACACATAGAATGTTCCAGATGTGACTAACATTTTAAGCTAAAGATTGTTGACAAATAGAAGATAAGGGATTAGGAAAGAAATGAAAGTGTGTTAGTGTTGGTATTATACAGTTTTTTTGTTTTGTTCTGTTTTTTTTTTTTTTTTTGAGACAGAGTCTCACTCTGTTGGCCCAAGCTGGAGTGCAGTGGTGCAAACTTGGCTCACTGCAACCTCCACCTCCCAGGTTCAAACAATTCTCGTGCCTCAGCCTCCTGAGTACCTGGCATTACAGGTGTGCACCCCCATGACCAGCTAATTTTTGTATTTTTAGTAGAGACGTGGTTTCGCCATGTTGGCCAGGCTGGTCTTGGACTTCTGACCTCAAGTGATCTGCCTGCCTCGGCCTCCCAAAGTGCTGGGATTAAAGGCATGAGTCACTGCGGCCAGCCGTATTACACAGTTTTAAAATGTGTGTTGGAAGAGAAGAAATTTGGAAAGGCATATAATCTATGTTCAAAGAAAACACATGTAGTGTCGATTGAAAGAAGGAAGTCACTGGGGCTGCGTGAATCTTTTTAGAAAGAAATTGTAGCATGGTCACCAGCTAAGTGAGGTGGTAATGGACATAAAGTGGAAGAATTTGATTAATACTATAACTTGCAGCATCTTTCAGTGGAATGACAGAGCTAAGGGCAGGGAAGAGGTTAAGAGAATAAATATAAGGAAGATAAATGCCATTTTAAAAAATGCCATATAAAGACATTTAAGCTGAGAAGTTGTCAAACAGTATTCTTGCAGATAATGGCAGCAGGGAAATTCATGGCAGGGAGGATAAATGATTTGGGTGCTATCTTCGCCTTATCGAATTTCAGGGATGAATCTCCATTTGAGATTAATTTATTCATTAACACATTCAGCACATTTGTTGAAAACACGGGTAAAGCATTGTGTTAGCTATTTATAGAGTTATGTTAGATGATCCTTGACCTGGAGGAATTTATAATGTGATAGGAGTGATGAGATAACACATGAATAATTAGAAGAAAAAGAGAAAATGGCCAATTTAGTTTCTGACACATAGTAGGTGCCCAACACAGGTTTGTGGAATGAACGAATAAGTGAATGAATGAATGAAAGACATAGGAAGCACATATAAAATAGTAAGAGTTGAGAAGAAATGTTATTTATATGTAGAAAGATTAAAAATGTCTGGGTGCAGCGGCTCACGCCTGTAATCCCAGCACTTTGGGAAGCTGAAGTGGGAGGATTGCTTGAGTTCAGGAGTTCAGGACCAGCCTGGGCAACATGGAGAGACCTCATCTCTATGGAGAAAACAAATAAACAAAACCATTAGCCAGGAAGCTGGTGCACACCTGTAGTCCTAGCTACTCAGGAGCCAGAGGTAGGATGATCACTTGAGCCCAGAAGGTCGAGGCTGCAGTGAGCTATGATCATGCCACTGCACTCCAGCCTGGGAGACAGAGCAAGACACTGTCTCAAAACAAACAAACAAACAAACAAAAAAGGCTTTTATAGAGAATATGACAACTGAGTAAAACCATAAATGTCAGATAGGATCTAGGATTTAGATATGAGATTGCAGTGAGGGACAAGTCCACGTAGAGTTAACAGTGTAAGAAATTGGAAGCCAGAAAGTTCAGGGTGCATAGAGCCCAAGGTGACATTGAAGCATGAAAGGGGAGGTCACAGAAAGATAAAAGCTGAGAAAGTAGGTTGGAACAAAAGTCTGAAGGGCCTTAAATGCTCTAAGAAGTTTGGTGTTTATTCAGTTAATAATATTTAACATTAGAAAGATAATGTATGGATGATAAAATATTTGAATCCCTTGAAGAGATATGGTTAGAGGTATAAGGAGAATTTATAAGAAAGATAGAAGACAGGAAGAAAAGAGAAAATTTCATCTGGGTGTATTTGGCAATTGAGACTGTGAAGCTCCAGAGTAGAAAAAAGAAATAGAATTGGGAATCAAAGATGTTCATAATACAAAGGTGTAGATATGACCCTCCTTCAAGTACTGAGGCTCTTGATGGAAGGATTCATGTTACTGAGCTTGTACAAGTAGAATGCCATTATTTCACTAACACCCAGAAAATAATCCATTGCTATAATTAGCACTTAATTGTGCTATGTAACATGAAATTCCTTACTATATCTTTTCAGAGGCAGCAAGTAAGAACAGGTAGAAGGCAATTTCCTGGGAAAAGTGGTCTATATTTACTGTCTCCATTTCTACATTTTTCATTTACCTCTCAGTTCACTGCAATCTGGATTTTTGTCTCTCATTTCAGCAGAAATCACTCTCATTAAAGTCACCAAGGGCTTCTTAATAGCCAGTCCCAATGGCACTTAGTTCAAACATCATCTCCTTTGGGAAACCTTCCTTAATGTCACAGAAAGAGCAAGACGCCCTTTTACCTGTTTTGATCCTATGTCTGTCATGGCACCTAACACAATGTATTACAATTATTTAAAGCTATGTGAATTCCCTTTCAACTGTGATTTCCATGAGGTCAGAGACTATGTCTTATTCAACTTTGTATCCCCAGCACCAGGTATGGTATTGCCTAAATAACTAAGAAATACGAACAATAAACCCCCCTCTATTGTCTCATTCAATCCTCTCTGCAGGATACACTTTTAGACAAAATACTGAAGACTCTTTTTTTTTTTTTTTTTTGAGACGGAGTTTCTCTTTGTCACCAGGCTGGAGTGCAGTGGCGCAATCAAGACTCACTGCAACCTTCGCCTCCTAGGTCCAAGCGATTCTCTTGCTTCAGCTTCCTAAGTAGCTTGGACTACAGGCACCCACCACCACATCCAGCTAATTTCTGTATTTTTAGTAGAGACAGGGTTTCACCATTTTGGCCAGGGTGATTCAAACTCCTGACCTCAGGTAATCCACCCGCCTTAGCCTCCCAAAGTGCTGCGATTACAAGCCTGAGCAACTACACCTGGCCAAGACAAAATACTGAAGATTTCTAAATATAATCAAAACACAAATTGTCCCAAGGACTTCCAAATAGAACTAGAATGGAAACATTTCCTCTGAGAGCATTACTTTTACCTTTCATTGTACTGTACATTATTTGTAAATTATTATATGATTAATATATATTGATAAAGCTCAGATGTTTTACAATCAGTCTCCTTATCTCCCTACCCCTCACCCATTGCCACAGTTTATTATCCATACTTCTCATGACTCTATCATGTTGTGATTTCATTGGGTAAGGACTATTTTGATTTAGCTAAACATTTTAAAGTGTCTCTTATAAGATTCAAAGATAAATAAGAATTGATAAAAATAAACAACTCTCATGAACAAACATTATTTATCTCTAATTTTATCTAACATGGTTTTCTCTAGTAATACAGCTAATGGTTAAGTAATATTCCTCATGATCAATAAAGAAATTCAGTGTTTTATTATTCTAATGTTTTGTCAAATATTTGCATCTTTGAAATTTAACATGGGAAGACCATTCTTGTCTATATTTTTTATAAACACACACACTATTAATCTCTTTTTCATCCAATTTTGCAAATGTTTTGGAATTTACCACCCTGGATACATATGACAGTTTAGAGTTAGTTTGGTTCTTTCTCTTCCTTTTGCTCCTTTATTGCTAAATTGTTTCTTCTCATCACCTGTAAAGCTCACACTTTTTATTATTTTCTTTAATTCTGGTTAACATTTGCCTATTCAACCTTATACTTACCTATCTTCACTTCTCCCATTATCTTGTTCATCTCTTATTTTGACCATTTTACTCCAGTGAAAGGTCTTCCTATGACCTTCCTATCATATGGTACAACTATCTATGAATAACTATACAGGCATCTACATATGCCATGAAGATAATCATCCAGATCATCCTTGGAAAAAATTGGGGACAGCATTTAGTAAGGCATCAAGACGAACAGGGCTGTCATCTTTTAAGAAAGTTTTATTTTTTTAAATCAAATTAGTATCTAATGCAGCACAAAGTCCAAGAGAACCAAAAACTTAGAGTCTAAGAGGTGAAGTATTCAAGTTGTCAGTCCATTATTACCCCATGTGAGTTTATAATTTCCATGAAGAAACTTGATATATATTATGAACTTAAATAACAATGATAGTATATAATCATGTGCTAACAAGTAGTAGGGACTAAGCTTCAATGATCATTATATGAGGGTTGCTTGGGGTGGAACTAATATAAATAGATGGAACTGAGGTGGGAAAACAATGATATCTTGATTTGATATTAACTTGTGATAAATGTCCCAGTCCCTTAAATGCATTATTTATATATATTCCATATTTTAAAAATATGTCTATCAAACTAATTGCAATATTACCATTTAAATAAAATATACTGTGAGATAATGAACTATGTGAGCAAAGGAATCTGTAAATGCTTTGTTCTAAAATTATTACTTTTGTTTTTGCTACAAAATTTTCAATTTAATAATGCTGAGGATAGTTATTTTGAGAGGGGTTACATACAAGTATATTTTAAAATTATGTTCAGTTTTTAAGAATAAATTATACTTAAACATATTTGAATTTAGTTTCTGATTTTTCTTTAATGTAACAAAAGTCAAGAAAGGAAAATCATTTGGATGATTACATGTTTGTTGGTAGACACTATTAAAACATATTAAGCATTTATATGAAGCAGTGTTTTTAAAATGTCAAATAAAAGTATTTTCTTTTTGAAATGCTTTCTTTGATGCTTATTAAACAACCAGGCTGTTATGCTGGGGCAGCAGTAATGGAGGTTCTGCTTTTGCTTTTGAAAAGGAGCGTTGGAGCATCTCTGGATTTTAGATACATAGGAAACCCTTACAAAGACTTTGCAAACAGACTGAAGGAAAACAGATCGAAAATTGGTCTTTCAACTAGTACCTCATTATTGTTCCTAGTGGAAATTTTTCTTACTTTTAATTCTTTTTTACTTCTAATAAGGTGTAAACTATGCATATATAACAATGTTTGCTAGCCAGAGAATCTTAGAGAAGATATGCAGGAAATAAAATTTTTAGGAAATAAAATATTCTTTACAATGTATCTTAAAACAACAAAATGAACAATGAAGATGTATAAACTGGCTGTGCATTTACTTAACTTAAAGGATATCAGAATTAATATATTACAAAAAAAATTCATTCTTAAAAGCAAAGTATAATTGTTTGCCACAATTATTTTAATATATTTCTTTCCCAGGATAAATTTTAAACTCAGGAAAGCAAGGACTGGAATTGGAAGGGTTAAAAAAACACGAAGCAACAGTAACTCCATTTAGATAAGGGGATAGAAGGGTGGAGCAAGGGAACAATACACTAAAGTACTTTTCTTTCACAGATCTTGGTTCAAATTAAGGTTAAATTCCAAAGGAGGATGTGTTTTCCCCATATGGAGTCTTAAAGGACATGCCTTTGTTTCCAGCTTCCCAGAGAAGATATATGTTAACACAAACAAAGCATTTCATAATAAATTTAACTTTTATAGAGTGACTAATGCCCTGTGGAGATAAGGCGGACTCTCAGTCACCTGTGTTTAATCCAGGCTGAAGAAATTATGCCAAGGGCACACTGACAAAACTTTATTTCTTCGGAGAAGATGGCAGTAACTTGGTAGGGAGCAGAAAGGGTCTTGGTTTTAAAAGTCTTGTTAGAATGACTCTCATTCTCACTGTGAACCCAGTTTAGCATTTATGTACTTTGGAAGGACAAAGAGGTGAGGTAAGCCTGCCAAAATTTGAATCTGTGTTTCTGGGAACCTGTTAGTAGGTCAACTGTTACAAATGTAAGAGGAACTGCAAAGGAGCGGTAAATACTAGAAATTTGGGAGTTGGCCTGCAAATAGCTTTATTAAAGCTTGCATACTGTTTCTTCTTCTAGATCTCAGGTCAGGTGACATGATATTTAAAATGTCACAGAGTATCACTATTTCTCGATCCAAACAGGCTTGGGTGCAGGTAGGGTGGGAGGTAGAACACCATGTAAAGAGACAACTGTTTTCTGCTAAAAATATTTGACAGTTAACAGACAGAAACGGAGATCTTTAAAATTTTACTTGGGATCTTGCTAACAATAATAATTTATTAATCTATCTCTTCCTCCTAAGAAAGACAAATGGTTTATTTATGAAAATAGTACTTTTCTTTCCCCTTTCCCTTGCTTTTATCTCTATGTTGTTATTAACTAGAGGCCTAATTATGAAGTCCTTATTCTTGAAAAATGTCACTGAATTTGTGGTTAGGTAAAGTCACTCATTGAATATACACATCCCCTTTCCATGTGCAAATTCTATTGACTTCAATTGAAGAGTAAAAGTTAGTGCTGTGACATGTGAGGAAGGAATTCCTTTTGAGAAAAGGAAACAATCTATTTGCATCAATCATATCAAACACACTTGACTATACATTATAAAATATTTGATTTATTTTTTATATTTATATATTCATCCTTGATGAAAGGCTTAGGCAATCTATATAAAATTTAAATAAAATAGAATACCAGTCTCCCTTTCTTCTCCACTCACTAAAAAATGGAGACACTGACAAAGAATAAACTTGATTTAGTTGCTATATGAGAATTTTTGTAACACTTTAGTTTATCAATCTGCAGGTCACTAATATTGATTCTAGACAAAATTAAGCATCGTCACTTATTTTATACTTCTCATTTCTTTATAGTGCTCAAGTTCCTTCTTGTGCTCTGAATAAGAAAAAATACCTTTCATCTTTTCATGTTAGCCAGTGGCTAAAAGAAGATAACTTTTCCGACTCTAGCCTACTAGACAAGGGTAATGAGGTTTCTCTTCTCAGGCTATGTAATGCCAAATCCAAATATCAGAAATTAATTAACTGTCCCAAATTTCAGAAATTAACTTCTCAGAGAGGAACACCACAAGGGGGCAGGTGAATCCAGGCTAGGTCCTAGGTAAGAGGGTCTCAGTATTGGGAATCCTGGTCAAAAGATAGGGAAAGGTTAGGTGAGAATTAGAAACAACTCTAAAGATAGTATTTCTTCATGAACATAAGCATTGGATCTGGATCACCCAAGTGCAATTTTATTTAGAACATCTAGAAGACATTAATTACAATACAGCAAGAAAATAAGTGAAAGATATCAAACCAATGTAAATAGTAACAGGTTGAAAGTGCTTACTATGTTTAAGAAGGCCAATGGGATAATTTTACCAAGAAAAAAAAGACTGTATGTGAGAAGAAATCCAAAATTTACTACAGAGCAATCGGGGTATGGTTTGAAGATAAATTACAACCAGATAGGCAAAGTAGCAAGTAATTAAAAGACGACATGAGAAGATATCTTTGCTTCAAGGTGATCTTAATAATGAACAATTTTGTAACAGAAGCATAAAGTTTGAATAGAGCTATGCTAGTTTTTTTTTTCTGAACACAAAAATTAAGAAATTAATCTGAGGCACTTTAGGAAAGAGAAAATCTGCTATTTAAAAAGATTAAAGAGTCTGTTTTGATTTTCATTAGAAATTAAACTTAGCCTACGAATAGGAGGCAAAAATTGATGTTTAAAAATTAGTTCTCCTAAACAAATATTTTAAAGTTGATACCAGATATCCCCTGTGAGAATGTCAATGACAGTATCTTCTATGGCCAACATATACACATACCTTCTGTGCAAAACAGCCAGGATGAATTCTGTTTGGCAAAGCTGGAAATTATCACCAGTTTCTCTTTTATACCTCACTAACAAAATACATTTAATTATTTGATGTGAATAGACAGTATATTATCTTTTATAGATTAATAAAATTAAGCACACAGAATAGTGTAGGTTAATGAAGTACACAAGTTTTGGCTGTTACTGGTAATTTCTATTTCATTTCCAATAGCAATTAGAATCTTTAAAATGAGCTCTTAAGTAGCTTCTTTTATTTATGATAAAATTAACTTCTTTTTTAGGCCTATACAATAATTTTTTATAATGACAATGTACAAGTCATTTCTTTTATTATAATTCTATTGATTGATGAGGTTATCTCAAAATACACTTCAGGGCAAGCCAGGTTTTAGAATGTGGGACTCCAAATTGATCAAACTTTCTGTTGTACCATGATATATTTTGGTTTATTGGTATCATAGGACTTAACACTAAACTAGTAAGCCTATTTTTAACGCAAAACTCTGGACTGAAATGTGAATGCCTATTCCTATTGTACTTTAACGAAGGCTATTTCTCTCCAAATTCACTCATTCTTCTCATTGTATGTATACACATATATAAACACATACATAATATAGACACATACACATAAACTTATGTGTACATACATACATGTTGCAGTCCATTGGTGATATTTTAGAGCACTCTTTCTCCTCTTTTCACTCTGTGAATTCTCTTCTCTTCCTTTACTCCAAGTACTTGCAAAGTCCTCATATGCTTTGTCACCTTAAGGACATGGAAGCAGCTTCTGCAATGCTTGAAATAATAATGCTTTGATTTGTTAATGTGAAAAGTTGGATGGCTTTTAAAAGCTGAACAGTCCAGGGCTATTTGCACATAGTAGACATTCAATAAATATTTGTTGATTTGATTTATTCTAGGGTAAAGAACTGAGTAACAACTCTTTTTGTCTTCACTGATGTGCTATGGTTGAGCCTGTGTACAAATCCATTTATGAGTAAATATTAATGGTCATGGTCAATGAAGATGTTTTAGAGAGAAAAAAATCTAGATCTACAGGCTGTTAGTAACAGCAGTGATTGGGAGCATGTTTAATAAAATAAGTAGTTCTAAAAGAATAGATGACAGACACTATAAAATAGGGGCTCACTAAAGAGCATTCTGAATAAATTATCTGGAAAGAAAGTGGCTATTCCAAGAGTTTTACATTTTTGTTTCCATATACTAAGGCAACGGACCTTTTCATTAAAAAAATTAGGGATAATATTTTGGTTGTAAAATTTAGTGAGCATATATAAGCTACATAATACTTCCTTTGGTAGATTCTCCTTTACAATAGTCACAAAAGTGTTAATGTGTGGTTTTACTGACAAATGAGAGGTCCTGAACATAGAGAATGAGAATTTGTCCCAAATTTCAAGCAATGTATAACTTTTAAGGAGTTAAACTCTATACTCCTATCATTCAAAAGAGCATAATTGATTTATTTCCCTTTCTGATCACCAACAGTAAAAACTGTTTCTGAACTTACAACATGTTAAATTTTGGCTCAAGGCAAATTTACAACAGCAAGGTTTATAATAAAATCTGTCAAAACATTAACCATGATGGCACAGGTTTCAGCTCTAAACAGCGCAGATAGGGAAGCAGTATGGCTGACAACCTGAACAGCTTAGGGATGGATGCACGTTTGCAATTCTAGCTCTCAAAATGCCTGCTTATGTCACATTATAAATGTTTTTCAATTCCTCTGTTCTCATTTTTCACAAATGTGAAGGTTTTACATAAAAGGACAATGTTTTAATTAAGTGGTTTCAAAGTGATTTAGAGATCCTAGAATTAAAGATATAATTCTAAGTAAAAAGTTATTAGCTAAGAGCACTTAGATGTTCAAGACAAGAGCTAGGAAGCAATAGCGTTTTCATTTCTTCTGTGATGAATCTCAAGAAAAATTAAGTATGAACTAAGATAGTATCTTAACCTTTTTGCTACTTTAAGGCAAATATGATTCATTTGGCCACATGCTAGCATTTGAGCAATATTCATCTATATAATTTTAATTTTTCAACATAGAAAACAATGCTGGAAGTTTTGGCTTCCTGTTCCTTCATGGTAAAAAAGCTATATTTCCTGGAAAATCACAAGCAAAATACAGTTACTCTTATCAAAAGTGAATCACTCTGCCAGCAGTCAATTATAATCAAGATAGTCAACTTTGTGTATGAGGTACATACTAGAAACAATATTGGAGAAGGACATACTATATTGAAAAATGTAATTTGATTAGCCACAGACAGAATAGATTTATGAGAAGAAAATCTTCTTTAAGGAACTTAAAGTGTGTTAATGTCATGGTCATACAAGTAAAATGCAGTGAATATTCTTTGCTTGAGTGTTTCAGAGAGTCTGATACAACTGACCTATTTGTTGAAGAATGGCAGGCATGTTTTTAAGCTTTAGGATCATCATTCAACATGATGTTACCTGATGAAAACTGGTGGAGACTGAATCAGAGACAAAATAATATTAGTAACCAAATATCAATTTTTGAAGCTGTAGTTTGGTAGGTAATATTCATGCACAATTTATTTTTGCTCCCAAATATCTTAAAATATGACTTGGGTATTGAAAGAATAATATAACCAGAGAGTAAAATGTCAAGAAAGTATATCAAAGTAATAAGAACTCATATAACTTTGGTTGTTTTTAGAAAATGAGGGACCACTGAATTTGAAATCATGATTTAAAGTACATGCAGCAACATCAGAGGACATCCAAACAATTTACACTGGTTTATACATTGTTTGCATTCTTCTCCTTGCCTGAATTTGGACAAGCAATGTAGTTATCACTATTGCTCAATAAGGATTTAAATGGCCTATTTTCTTCTCTGGAAATTTTGTATAAACTTTGTAGTCAACAAAATAAAACCAGACTTCAGTTCATCATGGAGTGAAATTTCAAACTTTGGACTGCACGGTACCAATATTTAACAGCTACACAAGAAGTTTGGATTAAAAGAACAAACCAAGGCTGGGTGTGGTGGCTCATGCCTGTAATCCCAGCACTTTGAGAGGCCAAGGCAGGAGGACTGCTTGAGTCCAGGAGTTTGAGACCAGCCTGGGCAATTTCAGAAGACCCTGTCTCTACAAAAAATTAAAAAAAGAAATGAGCCAGGCTGGTGGCACGTGCCTGCAGTCCCAGCTACTTGGGAGGCTGAGGGGAGAATCACTTGAGCCCAGGAATTTAGGGCTGCAGTGAGCTATGATCACACCACTGTACTCTAGCTTAGGTGACAGAGTAAGACCCTGTCTCAACAAAACCAAACAAAACAAAACACCCAAAACAAAAAACAAACCACAACAGACACACCACACACACACACACACACACACACACACACACCCAAACCAAAAAAATTAAACAACAACATCAAACAACCCCACAACAGCCCTTCACTTTAAATTGATTAATTAATTATGGTTAAACAGCTATAGTATTCAGGTAAATACAATGTTTTACCTGGTAATGTGCCAGGTGCTAGATAATTTGACATAATTATATATTTTAATATCACTGATATAGGAAAAATATTTAAATTTTAAACTTTTAATGTCATATTTTTAGAACGGCACATCATACAAATGTTTAGAAAGTTGAAATAGTTTGAAAATTTAGGGTTTCATCATTAAACAAGGATGATTATCCATCAAGTATTTACCTGTGCAAAGAAATCGGAACAAAACTGAATCTCTCATCTTCAGGAGCTTGCATTCTAATGGGAAATAGTAAAGGAATACTGAAACCAAGAGAAAACTTAATAACTGCCCTAATAGATGAAGAAAGAGCTATATGGCAAACAGAAGGGAGATTAACTACAACTTGGTGGTGGGGTGAGGGTGGGGAATTAGGGAAAGCTTCATGTAGGGGGTGGTACATAAGTGTTCCTGATGGATGAATTGGATTTAAAAAGTGAAGGTGGATTTGATTGAGTAGAGGGTTAAAAATGGCAAATGACTCAAACATTGAAAATATAGGGTAGGAACTGAAATGGAGAGTATGCCTGGAGTACACGGTCTCAGGTATTAGTATGTTATGAATAAAAGTCACTTTTATTAATTTTCTTGCCATTCATAAGAAAACAAAATGTAGCATAGAACTTTTATGTATAATGTGGGAAATTGGTTCTTTAAAAAAATGCAACATGAGCCCAGACAACTTTCCTAAAATATAAAGAAAATAATATCTGCAATATGTAACTAACTATATTCCTTGAAAAGTTGTTGCAATTTATAAAAGTATTTTATTTATAAAAGCAGAAACCAATTATTGCTGTGATATAATTGAAGCTTTAACTGAAACTTCTGATTTCAAAAGCTTTTCCTCACTTCTTTTTGACACCAATTACTTATTCATATTCCTACCTTCCTCTATGTCACCTAAATAAAATTACATAACTACTCTTTATAATATGATCACAGTTTAAGAAAAGATGCAAAAAGCAAATCCAATTTTGCAAAGTGCTAAGACTATAACATACTAAGACATTAGTAATCGGTGTACACATTTAGATAAAGTGTAATTCTTCAAAGAAATAACACTGAGATATTTTATGTCAAATTATATCATTGTTCAAAATATATTTGAATTTTCTCCCACAGAAGTATCTTCAGAACTGGTTTATGAGTTAGAGAAGAAATTCAGTCTCTTGTCTTTCAGTCACTTGGCTTTTAGTCTCAAGATAGTATAGTTAGAAGCAATATGAAGCTTAGCTATTTTAAAGAAAAATTTGTTCTTAGCAAGCCAAAGTGTACCTAATCTATATGGGTCTGAGAGACATTCTTTGTGACATTATCAGGAAGATCTCCCTAAGCAACAAAAAACATTGGCATGGAAGAAAAGGGCCACATGAGATAAAGTATACATGACTGGTGCATTTGGCAGTTCTCACCTTTTAAAAATATTATACAGTTATGGTTCCTCTATTTTAGGCAAAGTTCCTAAGTTTTAAAACAGGTATGCTTTTTGAAGTTTCTGCCACAGTATGTATGATTTTTGAAATGAAAGTTACTTCTTAATTTTTGTTAGTGCACTTTGGTTTATTTCTTTACTTTTCATATATATATTTTAAAGGCTACCTTTTAGGGAGCAGTTGGTCTAGGGAGGCAAGAGCATCTTAGTTGCATGAAGACATATAAATTATATAATCTTATTATAAAACCAAAAATGTTGATCGCTGCTGTTTTCTAAGTCTTGCTTTACATGGAGCCAGTGTTAAAAGTTCGTTAGCTAGAGCTTAACAACACAATGGCTTGAAGGAATGGAGTTACCACACAAGTGCTTAAATTCCATGCCGGATCCCTAGCTACAACGGAGAAGAAAGTTCAAACAACAAAAACAGAGTTGCAAGGTCTGAACTTGTGTGTCACGGATACCTCTTACTCATCACCAGGCAGCTCTTATTCAGGGCAACCAGGCCCTCCCAAGCAACATGGTTAATTGAATAAGGATTCTGAACCTTTTGGCTGCAGATAAACCAAAGTGGTACATGGCTCATAACTCAAACATTTCATTTTCGGCAGCTGTTAATTTTCTTGCCCAGGCTAATTTGGATTATTCAATCATTTTCTTTTCTTTAATGAAAAACTGCTTGTAGTTACTGGTGGGGACAAAGAGCTGCAATTATGGACCTTGGAAGGTAAATTTATTATCTGCTCATTTTAATCATGTATACAAGTGATACTAAATTCAGAACATTTTATTAGCAGTGCAGTTCTCTCTCTCTCTCTCTCTGTGTGTGTGTGTGTGTGCGTGTTTAGATTTAATAACATTCAACCATGACTACTGTTTCCTGCTATGATGGACCTGGTACCTCCTGCAGTAAGCAACTAAAAATGTTGGATAGAAAATGAAAAACATCTTTTCAAATTCATCAATATGTTGGCAGTCAATAAGTCAATAATACTCTGAGGCCCAAACCTAAGTAAAATGTAATCCTAAGTGGTAAGTAAAGCACAAAAGGCAGTTTTCATCTTGAAAGTGTTTGTCTTATGACAGGGGTAAAGTTGAGCTTGGGTTTTCAGGGCCTTGTAACGTAGCAGGGGACAAAGTACAAAGCCAGAATCCATCCGGGGAGAGAAATCTTGAACTCAGGCTATGAATGAAGGATTAACATGGATGAAATTGGAAATCATCATTCTCAGTAACTATCGCAAGAACAAAAAACCAAACACCGCATATTCTCACTCATAGGTGGGAACTGAACAAAGAGAACACATGGACACAGGAAGGGGAACATCACACTCTGGGGACTGTTGTGGGGTGGGGGGAGGGGAGAGGGATAGCATTGGGAGATATACCTAATGCTAGATGACAAGTTAGTGGGTGCAGCGCACCAGCATGGCACATGTATACATATGTAACTAACCTGCACATTGTGAACATGTACCCTAAAACTTAAAGTATAATAATAATTTTTAAAAAAATGAATGAAGGATTAAAAAAAATTTCCCCTATGAATTTTATAACCATAAGCTAGCTCTTCTGTGGATTTTCAACCCAAATTAACATTACCTAAGTGGCCTAATGAAAGTCAAATTAAGATTTAAAAGTGATCTAACATGTTTCCAAGTGACTGGCAGAAGCAAATGTAAAACTTTATGGAGGAACCCACCTTTAACACAGGCTTTGAAAAACTCCATAGAGAATAGTTCTAAGAAGATATAAGCTCACATTAATAAATCACCAAACATCTAAAGAAGTGAGGCAAAATAAAGATAGCTAGCAGAAATAATAGACAACAAAATCAGAGCAGCAAATTCTTGACATGTCAAAATTATAAGAAATTAAGTATGAAATACATGTTTAAAACATATAAGAAAATAAAAAATTAAAAATATGAGATAGGAACTCTAAAAATGATCAAATGCATTTGGAGATGAACAAAATATAACCTCTAGAAATGAAAATTATAATGAAATTTAAAACTCATTGGATTCCTGCTTTGAGACAGAACAGAATAGTTTGTGATAGACCAGTCCTCCTGCCAACAACAACTGGAAAAGCTGAATAAAGTACAAAAAACAGTATTTGTTTAAAAGTGTTGAAGAGGGTGTAAGATAAAGACTAATAGAGGGACTAAGATTTCAGAAAGGAGAACAACAGAGAGGTAAACTGATGATCTGCAGCCACTTTTCCCTTGGAGGCATTTGCTGGTTCTGGGTGAAGATGAGGGAATTGATAATGTGGGCTCTGTCCTAGCAGAAGATTGCTTCTAGGAATAGGAAAACTAGCAGAGCTTTGGGCAGTTTTGCAGGGCTGGAGTGACAGAATTGGAGACCTAAAGGACCTGAAACACATATCAAGTTCTCCTTTCAAGATACTTGGCAAATTCTGAGATGTCCTAAGTGAAAGATTAAAAAAGCTAAAATGAGAATTTCTAAAAAAGCTCAGTGAAGGTATCACTTTCACCACTGAAGGCCCTAGTGAACTATGCAACAAGAAAGGAGGCAAACCAGAAACAACTGATCCTTATTCAAACTGGAAGCCAGATTCAAGTCAACACAGTACCTTACTGGATAAATGTGACTGGGTTTCATTCAGTCATTGCAGGAGAGTAAAGGATAAACCCTCTTTGGAGGCAGACAAAATCATCTGGAGGTTCAGGTTATATTACATTCAATCAAGAATTAATGGGCATGCCAAGAGACAAGACAGACGATAGAGAAAGACCCAGAGGTAATTCAGATATTGGAGTTAATAGGCATGGACTTTAAAGTAACGATGACCAGTACGCTCAGGAAAACAGAGGCAAAGGGGGAAGAAAATAGATTTAGAAAGATGAGTATTTCACTAGAGAATCAGAATGTACAAAAAAGAAAAAAGAAATTGTAGAATTTAAAAATTCAAAACCTAAAGTTAAGAATTCAATAGATGGCCTTCAAAGTAGAAGACAGGCTTAGTGAAATAAAAGACAGGTAATTTTAAAAATTTAAAATTGTCCAGGTGTAGTGGCTCATCCCTGTAATCCCAGCACTTTTGGAGGCTAAGATGGGAGAACTGCTAGAGGCCAGGAGATCGAGACCAGCTTGGGAAACCTAGCAAGACCCCGTATCTTAAAAAACAAAAACAAAAACAAAAAAACAAAAATCAAAACTGTTGCACATAGAACTAGAAAAAAAGAATAGAAAATATGGGAACACAATGAAAAGATTAACATATATGTAATTGAAGTCTCAGGAGGAGAAAGAGATATTGACTAAACATGTCCTAAAATTGAGAAAAGAAGACAGAGCTTTAATAAGGTCTCTGAACTCAAGCAAGAAATATAAAAAGAAGACCACATCAAGGCATAAAATAAAACTGCCAAAAAAAAAAGTAAAAGAAAAAAATGTAAAAAGCAATCAGAGAAACAAAAAAGTTTACTTCAAGGAGACAATAACACTGACAGGCTCTCCCTCTTCCTCTCCCTCTCCCTCTCCCTCTCCCCACGGTCTCCCTCTCATGAGGAGCTGAAGCTGGACTGTGCTGCTGCCATCTCAGCTCACTGCAACCTCCCTGCCTGATTCTCCTGCCTCAGCCTGCTGAGTGCCTGCGATTGCAGGCGCGCACCGCCACGCCTGACTGGTTTTCGTATTTTTTTGGTAGAGACGGGGTTTCGCTGTGTTGGCCGGGCTGCTCTCCAGCTCCTAACCGCGAGTGACCTGCCAGCCTTGGCCTCCCGAGGTGCCGGGATTGCAGACGGAGTCTGGTTCACTCAGTGCTCAATGGTGCCCAGGCTGGAGTGCAGTGGCGTAATCTCGGCTCGCTACAACCTCCACCTCCCAGCCGCCTGCCTTGGCCTCCCAAAGTGCCGAGCAGGCCGCCACCCCGTCTGGGAAGTGAGGAGCATCTCTGCCTGGCCGCCCATCGTCTGGGACGTGAGGAGCCCCTCTGCCTGGCTGCCCAGTCTGGAAAGTGAGGAGCGTCTCTGCCCGGCCGCCATCCCATCTAGGAAGTGAGGAGCGCCTCTTCCCGGCCGCCATCCCATCTAGGAAGTGAGGAGCGTCTCTGCCTGGCCGCCCATTGTCTGAGATGTGGGGAGCGCCTCTGCCCCGTCGCCCCGTCTGGGATGTGAGGAGCACCTCTACCCGGCCGCGACCCCGTCTGGGAGGTGAGGAGCGTCTCTGCTCGGCCACCCCGTCTGAGAAGTGAGGAGACCCTCCGCCTGGCAACTGCCCCATCTGAGAAGTGAGGAGCCCCTCCGCCCGGCAGCCACCCCGTCCGGGAAGCGAGGAGCGTCTCCGCCCGGCAGCCACCCTGTCAGGGAGGGAGGTGGGGGTCAGCCCCCGCCAGGCCAGCCGCCCCGTCCGGGAGGGAGGTGGCGGGGTCAGCCCCCCGCCCGGCCAGCCGCCCCGTCCGGGAGGTGAGGGGCGCCTCTGCCCGGCCGCCCCTACTGGGAAGTGAGGAGCCCCTCTGCCCGGCCAGCCACCCCGTCCAGGAGGGAGGTGGGGGGGTCAGCCCCCTGCCCGGCCAGCCGCCCTGTCTGGGAGGGAGGTGTGGGGGTCAGCCCCCCACCCGGCCAGCCGCCCCGTCTGGGAGGGAGGTGGGGGGATCAGCCCCCCGCCCGGCCAGCCGCCCCGTCCGGGAGGGAGGTGGGGGGGTCAGCCCCCCGCCCGGCCAGCCGCCCCGTCTGGGAGGGAGGTGGGGGGGTCAGCCCCCCGCCCGGCCAGCCGCCCCGTCCGGGAGGGAGGTGGGGAGGTCAGCCCCCCGCCCGGCCAGCCGCCCGGTCCGGGAGGTGAGAGGCGCCTCTGCCCGGCCGCCCCTACTGGGAAGTGAGGAGCCCCTCTGCCCGGCCACCACCCCGTCCGGGAGGTGTACCCAACAGCTCATTGAGAACGGGCCATGAAGAGAATGGCGGTTTTGTGGAATAGAAAGGGGGGAAAGGTGGGGAAAAGATTGAGAAATGGGATGGTTGCCGTGTCTGTGTAGAAAGAGGTAGACATGGGAGACTTTTCATTTTGTTCTGTACTAAGAAAAATTCTTATCCTGCTGATCTGTGACCTTACCCCCAACCCTGTGCTCTCTGAAACATGTGCTGTGTCCACTCAGGGTTAAATGGATTAAGGGCGGTGCAAGATGTGCTTTGTTAAACAGATGCTTGAAGGCAGCATGCTCCTTAAGAGTCATCACCACTCCCTAATCTCAAGTACCCAGGGACACAAACACTGCGGAAGGCCGCAGGGTCCTCTGCCTAGGAAAACCAGAGACCTTTGTTCACTTGTTTATCTGCTGACCTTCCCTCCACTATTGTCCTATGACCCTGCCAAATCCCCCTCTGTGAGAAACACCCAAGAATGATCAATTAAAAAAAAAAAAAAAAAATTAAAAAAAAAAAAAAGACTGACAGCTGATTTCTAAACAGGTAAGAGGGAAGCTAGATATTAACAGGATGACATTTTAAAAGATCAACAGGAGGACCTACACTTCTGGCTACAATGGAATAACAGGGACCAGATTTATCCTGCCACTGTCCTTAAAAAACTAAAAAAAAAAAAAACAACAACAAAACCAAAACCAACACCAACCAAATAAAAAGCAATACTGAAAATACATGAAACAATGTTTTTGGACTTTGGACAATAGGCAGTCCAGGACAGTGAATCAAACAAATGAAGTGAGCCCTATGATTACCCCAGCTTATGGTCTGGAGAATTTACAAAGAGTGGAGTGGGACAACCAAACAGAGCTTGGAAGTCTCCCTGAGTTGAGGACACAGAGTTGAGAATCTGGGGACACCAGGGCAGACAGAATTTACAACTCAGGGTACTGGAGAGGAGAAATTCTAAGCAGAGGAGAGGGCTGCACAGAGAAAAAGAGAGAGAGGATACATAGGAGAGCGAGTTTGGCTCTAGAGAGCTGTAGACCATTCCTTGAGTCTTTCTCAGAGTATTGATCAGCACACATATGTGAGCAAACTAGCAAGGCCAGGGTAAAAATCACCAGGAAAGAAAAGGGAGAACAAGGACCTAAATTTTCATATGGTCATCATATACTACAAAGAATATAAGGTAATATATTCAGAAACTCAAAACATTTTAAAGAAATACAAAAATATTCAGCACCCAACAAGATAAAATTTACAATAACTGGCATTCAATAAAAAGTTATCAGCATGTAAAGCAGAAAAATATAAACTATGGTAAGAAAAAAAAATCAATCAATAGAAACAGGCCAGGAAGTTGCACAGATGACATAATTAACAAACATGAACGTTAAAACAGTTATTACAGCAATCTCTTCTTATCTGTGGGGGACACATTCCAAGACCCTCAGTAGATGTCTGAAACCAAGGATAGTACCGAACCCTACATATATTTTTTCCTATATGTACATTTCTATGATAATGTTTAATTTCTAAATTAGGCATAGTAAGAGATAAATAATAATAATAAAATAGAATAATTATAACAATATACTGTGATAAAAGGCATGAGAATGTGGTTTCTGTCTCTCAAAATATCTTATTATACTATACTTACCTATTTTTGGACTGTGGTTAGTTGTGGGTAACTAAAACCAAGGAAGTGAAACCACTGTATATGTTTTATGTTCCTGAAGATAATGTAAAGCATGAACAAGTTAAGGAGAGCCATAAAAAATTTTAAAAACTCAATTCTAACTTATAGAGATGAAAAATACAATGTCTGTGAAGAAAGAGGGCCTGGATGGGTTAACAACACATTAGACACTGCAAAAGAAAAGATTAGTAAACTTGAAGACAAAGCAATAGAAACTATCCAAAATGAAACAGAGAAAAAAACTGAAAAGAAATATAATAAAAATATAGTTAGAACGAATAAGATCTAATATTTGATAGCACAACAAGCTGACTACAGTCAATAATTTATTGTACACTTAAAAATAACTGAAAGAGTATAATTAATTGTAACAAAAAGGATAAATGCTTGAGGTGATGGATATCCCATTTACCCTGATGTGATTATTATGCACTGTATGCCTATATCAAAATATCTCATGTGCCCCATAAATATATACACCTACTATGTACACACAAAATTAAAAATTAAAAAAAAGAACGAAGCATGAACAAGTTGTAGGATAACTTTAAGTAGCCTAATATCCAGAGAATAGTAGATCCAGAGAAAGAAGAAAAGAGATAGGGAAAAATATTGGAAGAAATAATGGCTGAAATTTTCGATAAAGACTGCAAATTCATGGATCCAAGAAGTTCAGCAAACCACAGGCACAGAAACATGCAGAAATCGACACTACATATCAAAATCAAATTGGTTAAAGCAAGTGACAAAGGGAAAATCTTTAAAGCAGCTAGAGGACACATAATGTACAGAAAATAAAAATAAGAATGACAGCAGGAACAAAGCAAACCAGAAATATTAGAGCAACATCTTTAAAATACTGAAAAAAATCCACAAAACCATGTTAACCTCAAATTCTATATGCAGCAATTTTTTTTTCACAGAATGGAGGCAGAAAAAGAGTCACATTTTCAGACATACAACAGTTGAACCAACAGTTCTTCACTGGTATAGATGATAAATACTTTGGGCAGAAGGAAAATGGTAACAGGTGGATACACGGATGTATGTAAAGAAAATAAGGGCATCAGAAATCGTAAATACACGAGTAAATATCACAGTAAATATCACATACGTTCATTCTTATTTTAAAAATTTTCTTAAACATAATTGACTTTTTAAAGTTAAAAAAATTACAATTATGTGCATATGTAGAAGTAAAATGTGTGACAAATCACAAAGGTCATACGTGATGAAACAATAATTTAACAAAGTAATGTGATAGTTTAGATAACACCAGTTTATAGAATTTTTGCCCCAAAGACACCTACTGCCCACTTCCACTCCATTCCTCTTTTAGTCATGTACTCTAAGCTGTAAATTCTAAGTTCACTCCAGGTGATAGAGTGCTACACAGTCTGTTTACATTTACCTTATCATGATTGAATAATCAAATGCAACAGAAAGAGTGTTTTTAGATTTCAGCTATTGAAGCAAAATTCCACGTACATATTCCAAAATGAGTAGAGGTGCTTTATGGTAGATTTGAGTCAGTCTATTATTATTATTATTATTATTATTATTATTATTATTATTATTTGAGACAGTCTCACTCTGTCACCCAGGCTGGAGTGCAATGGCGTGATCTCGGCTCACTGCAAGCTCTGCCTTCCGGGTTCACGCCATTCTCCTGCCTCAGCCTCCCAAGTAGCTGGGACTACAGGCGCCCGCCACCACGCCCGGCTAACTTCTTTTTTGTACTTTTTTTAGTAGAGACGGGGTTTCACCGTGTTAGCCAGGATGGTCTCAATCTCCTGACCTTGTGATCCGCCCGCCTCGGCCTCCCAAAATGCTGGGATTACAGGCGTGAGCCATCGCACCTGGCCTATTTTTTTAATTAAAATAATTTGATCTCACTTCTTATGTTCTTTCTAACCATATTCACTAAAAATGATATTTCTCTTCAATATTTTATTACTATAATTTTATTTTATATCTAAATAGTTTTGAAAGATTCCTAAGGTACCTAACAAATTTGTTCATATTGACATTTATCTTTATTAAATTTGTTAAGGAAGTCAGACAGTTTGACAGTGAACTTAATCTGTTTCCTTACTGCAATATATTTTATAGTGCATATCTAGTACACTGTCTTCAGGATTGTACATTTATAAATTTGATTAAGATCGATGTATAAGAATTGCATTGAAATATGTATAGGATTTGCAATAGGGGATTTTATTTGAGTACAAAGTAAATATATATTTTAAACATTTGAGTTTGTGCATTAAAATACATCTTTGTTAATAATCAGATAGTCCAGAAATTGGTGGCTTCTAAAATACCAGCATACACCAAAACTATATTTAGAAGACAATTAGATTAAAAATTATGCATATTAAGACTTCTGCAAAGGAATATCATTGTATACATTTTAATGATTCTCAAAAATACACATTTATCATTGTCAAATACTATTTATGAAGTCCTACATTAAATAATTCAACTTTTAGAAGTTTAACTTAACTTACACTAAAATATATAATAAAAAAGAAAAGTTTTCTTTTTCTAATTTCAGTATATATGCTGCCGAAGCAAGCACAAGAAAAACTCTTCAAAAAAGATTTTTCTAGTAAAAGGATTACAAAAAATTTGGTAACTTGAGATGCTCTTCTGGAACGTATGCTGCTGGTTTAAATGTGCAAGCTCCAACTTAACAAATGTTTAAAATATTTGAGTTTTTAAAACAGTGCCAAAACAAACCACATCTTTTCTAGAGATGACATATTTAGCTAAGCACGAGCAAAATAAATCTTTCAACCATTCCATGTATTTGTTTAAAAGCCTAAGAAACCACGTGCATTTCCAATAAAACATGAACAAAACACTGAAATCACTGGAGCCTAACAGTTCACTTATAAATCATTTTTTTAAAAGGTAAATGTATCGGTGTGTGTGCATGTATATATATATATATATATGTAAAATATGAATAGATAGGTTAGCTGTAAATACTAGTTACCAACAACACAATAAAATCAGTAAAAAATTTGGGTTCCAAACACATCATATGTGAAAAGACAAAAATATATAAGCCATGGCTATTTCATCATAGAATGCCTTATTAATCACAAGTATTTGAAAATAGAAAGTTTAAAAATAATTGTGATCTTTAAGAATAGTACATATAAAATGTTTTTCTACGAAACTATATTCAATATTAAAAGTATAAATCTTTAATATTCTAGATTTTTAATAAAATAAACAAATTATATAAATAAGCAACCTGATAAGAAGATGACTGAATTTATTTGAATAAGGAAATATACAAAGGATCAACTTTATCATTGAAAAAAATTAGCAAAATATTTTACTCCATATTTAAAATACATTAATAATTTCTAACTTATTTATAAAATTTTAAATTCTCATATATTAATAATTAATAACTTTGCTTTAACTGCTTATACCTTGCTTATAACCAATAACTTTGCTTATTACTGGTTTTAGCTCTAAATTGCTCTAGGAGATAGAGCAAGCCTTGAAGTTTAGACTACCATGTTAAAAAACTAAGCTGATAGGTTTTAGCATCAGGCCAAATTAAAAACAGTACAAAGAGACTCATGTTATGTTTTATTAGCAATGAATTGTCACAATATTCCTAATTAGTGAAGGCTGAGGCAAAGCATACTGCCACTATAATACCATAGAGAGGTGGTAATAATGTGATGCTGTTTACACATGCAGTTCACATTATTGTACTTCATTGAAAAAAATGTGTACAATCTTTTGATTATTAGGGAATTTGTATGTAGTATGTGAAAGAGATGGTACTATCACAACAGAAATTGCAAGAGTAAAATCTTTACTTTGAAATTTTTTTCTTACAGAGAGATTTAGAGACTCATAGTTGCATGGAGTGTGGTTATAAGATCTTAGTTCTAGGTCCTAGCCAGTCCTTGGCAAATTCCAAGGCTTACTGAGTCTGTTTCCTCATCTGTAGAATGAATATAATAATAATTATAATGACAGTAATACTAAAATTATCATCACCATCGTTATTATATGGGTTATATATATAATTTATTATTATTATGATTGTCGATAGGATCAAATGAAAAAACAGATGTAAAAGGACTTTGTAAATCATCAAGTGCTACAAATGTTAGTATTAGCATTTTGCCTTTCCTGTAAATTACTTATTTTTACAAGAAGAAGTGAATTCTCATGTTACTATAGGATTTAGAGTTGATGATGTGTAAAGCAAACTCAAAGCAACATTTCTCAGCAGTGTGGAATACTTCTAAAGTTGCATTATTGTTGAATACATAGAGAACCTATCTTCAGTAGGCAAGGCTATTCCTTCATACAGAAAAAATATATAAAGACCATCTGACACACTGTTGATGGACACTTTTAAGTGTAAGAAATTAATTAAGATAATATTTGGCTGTAATACTTTGCATTTGAAATTTTGTAGACAATTCATTTTCAAGAGGATGTGATATTTTTGGGAGATTACCTATACTGAACAATAGTGGATGTTAGAATTATTTTGCAAATTTAACTTTATAATATCATATTCTATAAAAGTTCTGCATATTAATTATAGGAATTGGTTTTTCTAATTTGATCATTTAAGCGTAGAAAGATTTGTTTGGAAATTGTGAAATGTCTTTATACTATATTTTGTGTATTCTAAAAGACAAAATAACTCAAGAAAAGTTCATCTGCTTTCAACATTAAACCGAAAATTCAAATTTACTTGTGATTTATTTTAAGTGAGATCAGGAATGGACTACTTTGTGACAAAAATTGTTTCTCTTTACTTACCTGCACCTCCCAGATGACTTTAAAGATAATGTTTCTTCACATAGGGAGCTGTTACACGTTTCAAATAGAGCCCAGAGACAAGACTCCATGCATGACCAAATCATTACATATTTCTCTATTATAGAGTCATTGGTCTATGAGAGGATATAATTCTCTTTAGGACTATAGAGCAAATTAAATCAGTTTATTTTTAACCCCTGTTGTCCCTTATTTTCTAATTCTCATAGTTAAAAAAGTTACTTTAATGGATACAGATTTAATAAGGAAGAAATAGAGTTTGTTAGCATTATGATTCTTTTGTGATCTATGACAAAGTAGCTTACATTTTCCTGTGGAGTAAAAAAAAATTGAAATGGATAATCTGCTATGGTATATGAAAGAATGGTACAATAAATTGTCCTGAATGTACTTATCCTGTAAATAGGCAATGGTAGATAATTTAGCTCAATCTTAAAGATGAATTAAAAACGTATAGACTTAGAAAAAATTTTACTTCCCTACAAAATTTTTGCTAATTAAATCTCTACTTGTCTATTTCATCCTGTTCCAGGCACAGTCATTTCCTCTTGGTCTTTCGTCTGTCTAATCTAAAAATATGAAAGTATTTTGCCTATAACTAATTACATAAAAATCTCAGTTCTATTCATAACTTCATATGACTGCTATGCTGTAACTATCTTATTTCTGGAATAAAATAAAAAGCAGGTAACCTTAACCAAATGGCAAGTTTACTTTTTTCTAAATTCTTATATTTCTACATTACAATTGTATTGAATATTATATATTAGATCCTCCTCCTCCACAATAAAAATCAAATGGCAATTAAAAAAAGATAAACAATAAGAATACTTAATAGGTTTGATGGTCTCTTTTAAGACAGAGGCATGCTAATTTTCAAGCAAAAATGACAGAGACTTATAGCTTAAGTAGAATTCAGATAATTATTCAGACCCAATATTAAAAAATACTGACAATGTGAATTTATAAGTACACATTAACAGTCTCCTCTTTTTATTGAAAACAGTTTGCATTATTTGTAGTGAAACAAAAATCATGCCTTGATGAATGTAATTTTAATATATCCATCTCTTATTAAACAAATTATACATTTAATTCTTGGCACCTATATTTAATATCTTTTATACTAACAAAGATTACATACACGCATTGAAGGAAGACTACACACTCATGTCTAAGCCTCTCTCATCAGTTAAGAAATATACCCTATATTGAAAAATGCATGTATTTGAAGTTTTGACCTAACACAGTGGATTAAAGCTTAGACAATATTTACTTTGCCGCACTTTGATTCAGAAAGGGCCATATGTGAAGATATGATCCTAACCAACTTTAACATGTTTCTATAATGATCTCTCAGTAAAAAGATTTATATTAAAGATATTGAGATATAAAATAGTTACAAAATAAGCTGTAACCTTATAGCTACCCATTGGTAAAAGTCTATAGTTAATATATTTGGATAAATAACTCAAGTCAGCAGCAAAGTGGTTAAACATTTGTGATTTGATTTTATCTCAGCTTGGAATGTGGTTGGAGTGTCCCACTTCTAACAACTGTTTGCTAAGTTAAGGCTTTGGTGTTTACACAGTGTTGAATGAAGCAGCCTGGTCACCAGATGTGATCGCTTCCCCAGACTGTCGTTTTTTTTCAATCAGATCACTGTCCTCATGGTCCCGGTTCCAACCTTCTTCCTCAGTACATCCACCAGCCTTTCCAACCTAAGTTGGGGTTGGGATGGGGGTGAGAAGGGGAAAAAAAGGGCAATTATTGTTAAGAATGTCCTGGCTGATAAAGGACAGTATTTGCCTGTGACCAAGCAGTCCTCACGGTCATGTTAAGAAACAAAGCATTACTGTGAGAGACACTGCTACAGAGTGCCAAGTATTTGAGGTTAAAAAACCCAGCAACGACACAAACTTTAACCCAGATCCTTGAATTATGTCAGCATTAGATGCCACACAAAATTTATAGGACACTTATTTCAATACATTTAGCTACTTGCATTAAGGTTGTGAATGAATCATTTACTATGCAATGACAGGATCACATATTAAATGTAGAATAAACTGATTTTACCTAAGAAAAGCACATATTTCAAAACACAAATATCAGCAATGTTTCACCTGTTACTTAGATAAGTGATTCATTGGTTGGTATACTGTGTAACTTCTATGTACTAAATTCCCATCTTTTCATAGAATCAGCTGATAAACATAAAGCCAGAAATAGTGGTTAGGTGGGAAACATTTCAAGTTACAGTAGCATGGAAATAATTTAAAAATACACAATGATTTGATACTAATAAAACCAGACTTTTTGTTCTAATTAAAAAAACACGTTTCTATTTCTGAGTAGCATAGATGCACTAGAAATTACCTACATAGACATTTTAGTCAAAGAAAATGATTTTTTTAGTTGACTAAAAACTAGTCAATTAAATTGAAAAGAGAGTCGAAAGTTCACAAGTCCATTCTGCAGTGTTCTTAGACTACTCTATGAGCGGGAGGTCACATTCATGTAGATCAGTAAGAGATGCTTGACAAAAGATGATAGAATCAGACCATTAATTGGTTTTCTTCTTTTATTTTCTTTACTGAAAGCATAAAACCTCAACCAAAAATCTTGCTTGATGTTATACACATAGAAATCTTCCTTATAAGTAAATATCATGCCTAGCAGTTTTCATATACACAATCTTCCTCTCTCAAAGACTTTACGGTAAGCGGCACAGTCTAGTCTGCTTCACAGTTTGCCTCATTTATATGGATCCATGCATGAGGGTCCTCTGCAAATAAACACAGCACAGAGCTAGACACTGAAGGAATGAGGGTATTCTTAGTGTCATACAAAGCTGGTTTAGATGATTTGGAAGTTCCACTGAGGAATGGACAAATCAACTGCATATAATGCTGAAAACTAGCTGAAGTTTATTGGATGATTTTGTATCTATCAAGAATTCTGTTAACAAAAAACAGGAAAATAAAACAAAATTATTCAGTGCATCAAAAAACTTTGCTTTAAGAACACAGTAATGATCTTAGAGTAAAAAGGCAAATCTTGTCTAAGTTTATTACTACAAACTTTTCTAAAATGCAAACTATACATAAATGTTGTATATCCACTAAAACAGTCTAGTGGTACAAATACCTGAACTAGAAGAGTCATTAGAAAATTCACTGTATTCTCAGATTAGTCTGCAATACTTGAACCTTCCCTAGTGGTTAAAAACTAGTGCTAACTTACACACTCTGAATATTATGACTCATAGCACTACATGAATCCTTTAAGGCAATGTTTAATTAACTTGAGTTGTGCAATGAGGGGAAAGAAAAATGTGAGTATGAATTATAGAACTACACTATGAAATTTTAAGTTTATTGTTAAAATCTGATAGTAACTTGAAATAACCATTAAATAGCTCCCAGCAGAAATCATTATAAGATATTAGTAGCATTGCTTTGCATATATTGTTAAAAGCCAGAAAATATTACTTGCAAACTGGCTAAATGTATCCCTTCTCCATAATATAATTTATACTACTAACTAGTGATAAAACCTTTTTCACAATATAAAAGTCAGCTCTATGTTGTCTAGTTATTATTATTGTTACTACAAATTCAGAATCAGTGGAATCCCAAATTACTGAGATGAATCTGTGTTGTGCTTCTTCTGGCTTCTCCTTTACAGACAGGCTCATCTTACTTTTGTTTCCTTTTTCTACATTAGGACATCTTTCCATTTAGAACTCTTATATGTTGTTAAGGTAAGAGATTAGGAGGAAATAGTTAAATATCATGTTTTGCAATGTCCTCATTGTATTTCAACAATTACCACATCAACTACAATCTCAATTTATCCAGGTCGAATGATTTATGAAAACCTGATCTCAGAAATGAGAAAGATGTCAATTACTTAGTTTTGTGAAAGCTTACTGACTTCTGTAACACAATGAAGCACCTATTCCTTCCTGTAAGGAATGGAATACACCTGCCAAACATGGGCTGTGCCAACAGGAAGGTAGACGTGTGTGTCTGTTGAAGCACCTTGCAGGATTTGCCTGCAGGCTATTCTTACTGTCCAAATCAATAATGTCCTTAAAAAATTATGTAGCTCACTAAAATAGGCTCCAGCTGCTTTAAATATTACTCAGTGATATCTTCTCAACAGCTTCATGAAACAGGAAAAGGGCTAGAGCTAGGATTAGGATTTCTCCATTTTAAATATGAAGAAACTGAAGAACAGACAAGTAAACCCTTATACAAGGTTGTGAGGAGGAGGAGACAAAGTCACTAAAAATGCTGCACCTAGGGTTTGCCATTAGTATTAAAGATCTTGCCCTCTCTCAGTCAGAAGGATGAGAAGACTTTAAATATGATTTTTGTTTCTTTTATCACTATGGTTGTTGTTTTGTTGGTATTTTTAATGTTGATGTATTTTATCATCTTTTCTTTTCATTTTGCTCCCTTGATGACACTTAAACGCTCATGACTTCCAAATCTAGACCCCTTTCTCAAAATTCTCTTCTGAGTTTTAGACTCACTTATCCAACTGCCTTCAAGAAATCTCCTCTTGCTTATACAATTGGCCTATGATACTCAGTATATTTAAAACAAAACTATTTTACTTCTTATGCATGTTTCAGTATTTCTTATCTTGATTAATGTTGCCATCCATTCACTCACTCAACCTTTCAGCTAAAATATTTAAGAAAAACTTGGTATATTGTATTTTTTTATTTACTTCAATTTGAACCTGTGAAAACTTTGTGATGAAACAACTGATGTAGACAGGGGAACACAATGAAAGGGTTTTAACTCATCTAGTAACATCATTTGCATTTTAGAAAGTTCATATTGCCAAGAATGCAGAGATGGGATGAAGGCAGGTTGACCTGTAGGTCAGAAGACCACATAGCCTTTTATTTAAAAAATATCCTAATGAGCACAATGGTGTGAATGTACTTACTGCCATTAAACTATACACTTAAAAATGGTTAAGATGATAAATTTATGTTATGACATTTTACCCCAATTAAAAAATATGTCAGGCCAGACAAGGTGGCTCACGCCTGTAGTCCCATCACTTTGGGAGGCCGAGACGGGCAGATCACTTGAGGCCAGGAGTTCAAGACCAGCCTGGCCAACATGGTGAGACCCTGTTTCTACTAAAAATAAAAAAAATTAGCCAGGTGTGGTGGCACATGCCTGTAATCCCAGCTATTCGGGAGGCTGAGACACAAGAACTGCTTGAACCTGGGAGGCCGAGGTTTCAGTGAACTGAGATCACACCATTGCTCTCCTGCCTGGGCAACAGACCAAGACTCTGTCTAAAAAAAAATAATAAAATAACTAAAAATAAAAATAAAAAATAATCCCAGTGAGAGCTGAAGGCCTGAATTAGAGCTGTACCAATGTAGATGGAAAGAAGGAGATGCATTTGAAAGATATTTAGGATATGGGATCCAAAGCACTTCATGACCTCTGAGGATAGAATGAGGTGAGGTGGATTGGGCAAGATGGCTGACTCCCAGGATTCTGGTTTTGGTGGCTATGTAGATAGTGATGCCCTAATCAAGATAATGGAGAGGAAGAACAGTAGATTTTCGCTGGGGAGTATGTGTGTGGGGGGAATATGTGTGTAAGTTAAGTCTTATACATTCGTGGTATCAGTAGGACGTAAAAGTGGGGATGTTAAGCAGACACTTGTATATAAGAGTCTGTGTTAAAGAGAGAATATTAGGTCTATTTCAGTTCAATCAACAAGTATTTGTTGGGCAATTCCTATGTGCCAGGCATTGTGCTGGGCTTTGATTATTCAAAGAACAGGACATAGTCCTTACTCATAAGAAGCAGTAAGGTGGGAAAGCAGATCTTTATATGGATAACTCCAGTAAGTTATTGATAAATGTTATAACATAAACACAGGTATTAACAGAACCTACCTTGGGTATGGAAGGAGAGGAAAGGTCTGTAAAGGCTTCCTGATGATGCCTAAGTGTTGAAGGATGAGAAGGAAAGAGTTACCTCAAGAAAGGTGGGAATGGAGACAGGGCATGGTTGTGCATTCCAGGCAGAGGAAATAACACACAGGTATAAAAAGTTTGATGTGTTTCAAGTACTGCCAGTAGTATAGTTGCTCAGAACAACAAAATAAGAGGTTAAAGATGGCAAGAAATGGGGCTAGACAGGTAGGCCATACTACATTTTACTTTCGGTTGCAACTGAAGCCAGAGGAGGGGATGGAAATGTTTAGAGAGAGAAGAAATAAAAAAGGAGAAGAGAGGGAGGAAGAGGATAGAACCAAAATGACAACAAATATATAAAGAAAAGAAATTCTAAAAATAAATTGAGAAAGAATGGTCAAAGAAGTAAAAGATGAACCAAGAGTAGGACAGTCACAGAATCCAGAGATGAGAACTCCAAGAAGTGAGTGATCATCAGAGTTAAGTAGGTGCTTAAACAAGATTAAAGTGAAATGTCCATTTGATTTGGCAGGAAGTGATAACCTTTTTTGAGTGCAATTGTAATGGTATGATAAAAGTGAGAAAAAGCATGAATGGAATGTGAAAAAGTGAAAACTAAGTATAGGCTGCTTTATAAGAGCTTGGTTAGGATGTAAAGAGAACTGTAGTTACAAGGGGACGTATGGCTGAAGAAGTCTTGTAAGAAATGGAAAACATGTGAATGTGTTGATAGACTATGGGAAAGGAGTCTAAAGAAACAGAAACATGCTAAGGTATAAGGGAGGAAGGAAATGCTTTTTAAAATGGGCTTCTGAGGAATGGATCATAAGCATAACTTGTAGGATTATCCTTGAAACTACGACTGGTTAACTTTTCTTGCAGACTAAAAGAACGGAGGTAGAAAGAATATATCTGTGGATAATTCTGTAGGTGTGGAGGAAGGAAATGACTGATCTCATACGTGCTAGATTCAATTTTCCTCATGGAATAGAAAGGTAAGATCTCTGCTGAAAGCATAGAGTGAGGAAAAAGGCTGAAAAAGAATAGTGAGGGTTTAATAGGACAAGAAAGGGAGGTGACCAGGGATTTGAAAAAGGATTTTTAGGTGGTATTGATGATCTAGCTAAAGCTAGACACTGCAGTCTTGTAGAAGACATAAACCATCATTGTGGTATAATTTTTTCCCCCATCAGCTCTATACTTTGGGGGTAGGTTTGCGGAAAGCAAGTTATAGAAGTAACTCAGAGTTTATGACTTACAGGGCAGTAGGGTGAAAAAGACGAGGACATAAGGAAACTGTCTTAGGGAGAAAGTGATTAAACCCAGACTCCAGACTGAGGGGAGAAGAAAGCAAGTCAACAAAGGGCTGTTACTCTACGGGGAGAATGGAAGGAGCAAGGGACTGGATATTTTGATTTGTGTTGAGGCTAAAAAGCAAGAAGAGCTGGAATAAGACTGTGATCTCTGTCAGAGAAGCAATTTTGACCTTAGGATTTCAGATGTAGAAAAGTTCTGAGTGACAAGAAGATCCAGAGTGAGTAGCTGAAGTGAAAAGGTAAAGGTCATTAACATTCAGGAGGCAAATGAATAATGCAGGTTATTGACATAGATATTGAAGTTTGTCAGCATGAATGCAGAAGCTGGAGTAGAGGGGAAGACACTGAATGAGATGCCTGAAACTCATATTAAATAAATGGCATTGATCAGGAGATCAGAAGCAATTACTGAACAAGAGGGATAGAGAATGATAGAGATGGATTATGTAAACCTCAAAGAAGCAGTTTTACATGGATGCAGAAGGTATGAAAGTACTAAAAGGGAACCAGAGCTTTCCTTCCTATTACATGGGGTAAGGGAGAAAGGCTGGTGTCTAGTGGGCTACTGGTAAAAAAGTGTTCTTGGTAAATTCAAGTTTCAGGTAAAATGTGAGTGTGACACATTCAGTGCAGAAGTTGTGGATAGACACAAGTAGAAACAATGGAAAGAAGGTTCATGAAGACCGATTAAAAGGAGCTGAGGTGTAAGGACAAAAGCAGAAGGAGGGAAAGATGGGGAGGGGAGGAAGCACAGAAATGTAAGGAAGAGGACAGGCAATTGATCGGCTTACCCATTCCTCCATGCAGAAGCTGTAACTAATGAAATAAACTTCTTGCTCAGTTTTAGCCACAACCGAAAGATACATATACAGTCTATAATGCACACAGATAGATATAAAAATGTACATATGCAGACATATTTATGAATATATACAGACACTACGATATAAATATGAACACACACAAATATGCTCACAAAAGTACATGTAAGACATCAGGGAATATAAAAAAATGAAATTGATAAGAGAAAGGTAAGAAGACTTCGTATCTGAAAAAGACTGAAGAATGAATTCATAAGTGAAAAGGTGAAGGTAGAAGTAGATGGGAAAATGGGTTGAAAAGTCATACAGAAAGTGAAAACAAGAACTGTTAGAAAGTGGTAAGAATGGTGTATTAGTCTGTTCTCACACTGCTATAAAGGGCTGCCCAAGACTGGGTAATTTATAAAGGAAGAAGGTTGAAATGATTCACAGTTCAGCCTGGCTGGGGAGGCCTCAGGAAACTTACAATCATAAGGGAAGGGGAAGCAAATATGTCCTTCTTCACATGACAGCAGCAAGGAGAAGTGTAAAGCAAAAGGGGGAAAAGCCCCCTCTAAAACCATCTGATCTCATGAGAACAGGAAGGGGGAAACTGCTCCCATGGTTCAATTATCTCCATCTGGTCCCTCCGATGAGACATGGGGATTATGGGAACTACAATTCAATATGAGATTTGGGTGGGGACACAGCCAAATCACATCAAATGGGGAGCTGAATAATAACTATATAGTCAGAGAATTATTCCTTATTTTCATAGAGAGCCTCATTGGCTCTTCTACCTATCTGCATACACCTACCCTTTAAATCATTACCCTACTTGATTTCCTTTATGAGGTGTTGTCAAAATGTTAAGAAAATTGTTGTATCTTTACTGTGTTTTACTTTTTTTGAGGCTAACACTTCCAGTCCTCGAAGGGCTTTGTATAGGTTAATAAATTGCTCACCATTATTGGTTACTCTCTCGGCATGTCTAGTGTTTTTAAAAACATAGAGTCCTATACAACAATCCAGTATGGTTCATTACAAAGGGAAATGGAACTTATATCTCTCTCAATCTGGGAATTTACTTCTATCTTAATGCTGCCATGTTTCACTATGGGCTTAGACTGAGCGTTGGGGCAAAAGGCTCACCCACTAATACCTGGGCCTGCTTTGCCAGCAAAACCAAGGCAAACTTCTCTTTTTTTGACATCTACAATTAATATTTCCATATCAGAATAAATCACCCAAAAGTCAGTAGCTTAAAACAACTCTATTTTATTTAATCATGTCAATTTGGGCTTGGCTCAGCTGGGCAGTTCTTTTTTTATTTTATTTTTTTTGAGACGGAGTCTCCCTCTGTCACCCAGGCTGGAGTGCAGTGGCACGATCTCGGCTCACTGCAAGCTCCGCCTCCTGGGTTCACGCCATTCTCCTGCCTCAGCCTCCCGAGTAGCTGGGACTACAGGCGCCCACCACCACACCCGGCTAATTTTTTGTATTTTTAGTAGAGACGGGGTTTCACCATGTTAGCCAGGACAGTCTCGATCTCCTGACCTCGTGATCCGCCTGCCTCGGCCTCCCAAAGTGCTGGGATTACAGGTGTGAGCCACCGCGTCAGCTGGGCAGTTCTATAAGCCTTGCCTGGAATCACTCAAGTAGCTGTAGTCCACTGGGGCTGGGTGGCATGTGCTAACAGTTGGTCCTGCCTTGTGGCTAGGACTCTCTCTTGATGTGCGATCTCACTCTCAAGTAAGCTGGCCCGGATTTATTCACGTGGTCAGCACAAGTCAGCAAGAGGGCAATGCCAGAATCAGTGAGGCCTCCTGAGACCTTGTTCAGAAGTTGTACAACATCCCTTGCTTTCTTTTGTTGGTTAAAGTGAATCGCAGCCAGCCCAGATTCAAAGGGTGGAGCACGAGCAGCTGAAAAAAATTTGTGGCCATTTTTTATCCCACTATAGTATTGATCCTAAATTTAAGATTTTTACATTTATCCCTGTCAGATTTCATCTTAGTAAATATAGCTCATTTTCCCCAGCAATTCATATCTTTTGGCATCCTGAATTTGCTATCACTTTTTTTTGTTCTTTTGAGAAGTCTACTCTTTATGTTTTTAACTTAGGTCTTCAGAAAAATGTTGACTGGGAAAGAACCAAAGATAAAGTATAGAGAAAAGCTCTTACAGGCAATTTTACAGAGTATAATATGTATTCTTTTTCAATTAGCTATAAATTCTCAGAACTGTGCAATCATTTCTTGATCTTTTCCAGAAAGTTATTATGAGACAGTTTGTGAAATGACTCCTGAAATCAAGACATATTAAAGTTCATTATTCTTCCTTACCTACTAGCTATAGAGGTTAATTCCTGAAATGTAGCTAGACCTGCAAGGCTCATTATATGGCAACTAGGACTGGTTTGGCTGTCAGAGCATACTAAGTCCTTAGTGAGTAGATCACTGAGTTATTAGGTCAGTCTGCAACTAAAGAAGCTGGACCAGCTACAGGGTATCATCCAGAAGCACTTATATCTATTTCAATTAGAGTATTAAAGGGCTTAATTAGGGCTTTTACAGATATCAAAAAAAGCCTAATAACCTAATTTCATGATCTGTGACACAGAAGCAGAAGTTTCTAGACTGTTATGATACTTGGCAAATATGGTGTGTTTGCAGACCATTTCTTGTTGAAGTTGATATTATGCCTTGTATGGCTCACAGCATAGAGCATTTACTTTATTTTTAAATTTAATTTTAATGAGTGGTCTTTCAACATTCAATATATATTCACTGGAAAGCTATATTGAAGAGTCCATAAGTCACTTTTATCAAAGCCAAATCGTGAATTCCAAAATACTACCAACCTAACAATGCTGTGTTTGGTATCATGCATTTTGCCTTATTAAAAATACATATTTTTTTGAACACATTCACTATTAAATGGATAGGAACTTAAAAATTGATCTTGTTTTACACAATTTTGAGACTAAAACATTTGTAATCTTATTAATAGAAAACTCAAATTTAATAATGGGTTGTGATTGATTCGGCTGTGGGCATAATTTATTTACCTAGAATTGGGCATTACAACAATAATAAAGTCAGATTTCAGCTATCATTATACTACAGAAAATGCAAAAAAAATTGACACTAGCAGGGATGTAGAAAGCCAAAGTAACTATCAACTATGACTTATATCATACATATAAGTGTCTTCCTTGACAAAGGATAGTGTTAAAAATCTTAGCCTAGCTAAGGTGGCATTGAAAGTTTACATGGATATCATACTTAGAATCAAGCATTCTTCTCTTTGTTAATCTTCATATTAAGATCTTTGAGATTAAGTAGAAACCAAAGAATGCATTTTAAAAGGCCCTCTTACTACCTACTTCATCCACCGTGTTCAGGTATCTCCAATATCTTGTGATAGTCATGAGATTTGAGAATTTTCATCAGTACTAAAATGTTGCTAAATTTAGAGCTTTATGTAAGTTTAAGCAGAGTAGATACCTAGGTTTTGTTTAGATACATTTCAGCAAAAAAGCCAACTTTCAGCAAAAGCATTGATTGCATTATCAGTCTAGTTTTTGACCTAAAAATGATGACTCCCAATTCAATACTTATGTACACATTGTTTCCACTACCAACCCCCACTATCCCAAACACAAGGGGATACTCAGGAAATGAAGCTTAGAAAATTATTATGGTTCTTAAAATGATTTTGGGCCACATTTTTTTCTTTTACACCTGATATCAAATAGTCAAAGTAACAATTGTTTGGGCTAGTCATGGGACAGAACTATGAAAGTGGAAAGTTTGTCTTTATTTCTCAAAGAGCAAAGTCTAAAATAATTTGGTAATAATAATTAAAATGGAGTTCCAATAGTAATAGAGAATTCTAGAGAGAGCGAGAAAAAACTCAAAACAAAAACTCAATGCTTAGCAGAAATGTACCCGAATGATACTTCACTCATTTCCCATCAAGAATCTAAGTATCCTCATATTCTCCTCCTAATGATGCTTAGCACTTGCCCTGAACTTTATGATGATGTTATGTGATTCCCAAAAAGGCATATCTATAATTTATTACAGTACAAAGCTTTAACTCAAATACGGGAATATCTGATGGAGAAATTTCAGGTATCAATTGATAGATATCAAAATAGATGTATTTTGGGATTCACATTTTTCTCTTAAACGACTCCTGGGATGTGACTATCATCTCTGTCTGCATATAAGATTGCCCCTTACACGTCCCTCTTATTGTCAACTGGTATGATTGGCTGGATATACACGTATCTTAGAAAAGGGAGAAAAGCAAGAAAAACTTTGGAGATACAGCCAACAATATTTAGCGTTAAAGCCTCATTACTAATCAGGTATGAATTAGTTTGTTGATTTCTCCTATAACTTCAAAATTAATCAAATCTAATTCAGCCCTTTCCCCCAAACTATTTCGCTATGTAAAAACTTATCAGCCAGGTATGGTGGTGCATGCCTGTGGTCCCAGATACTAGGAAGGCCGAGGTTGGAGGATTGCTTGAGCCCAAGAGATTGAGTCTACAGTCAGCTGAGACTGTCCCACTCACTGCACTCCAGCCTGGGTAACAGAGCAAGATCCTGTCTCCAAAAGAAAAGAAAGGGACAATAAAGGAAAGGAAAAAGAAATTGAAAAAAGATAAAGAATTACTGGAATAAAGGATACAAAGAAATAATGTAGATAAATTAATTTAGCTCCTAAGATATGTAATTATACAAAGCACTGTCATTCATTCATTTATGCATATTTCTTAGGTAATTATTTTGTGAATAGCACCTTCTAAACACTTGTTCTACACAGCCTTTTAGGTGTTTCTACTGTAGATATATATCATATGAAGTCTTTTTACAAAATTCTCTGTAGGGATGGATTATAAAAGGAGTTTTCATCCATAGCAAGTTATAATATAGGGAGTTTCATGTTATACCTTTTTCAAGTGGCTGAAAGGTTTTAAATACTGTGAACGGGAGAGTGTGTTACATAGGAAAACAGTGAGAAAGTGAGAATAAGCTGTACTCAGATCTCACAATTCCTGGGTCATTTTATTTACCATGCTGCATTAAGCTTGTCTTTTAGATTTACATTAACATTAAGAAGTTACTTCACACCTTGAAATTCAGCAAGAAACTTGGATTTATTGTTGAGATTAAATAGAACACAGAAAAAACTTGATATGTGTATATTCAACTGTCCTTAGATTAGATATACGACATTCCTTTTTCAATGTCATTAATATCAAAAGTAGACAAGGCGCCAAAAAATTACCTATATTTTAAACATTGACTAACTACTATCTTTTAGGTAACCTTGAAAAATGAAGCTCACCAATCAATCATATCAATTAATACCTACTAAGGTGAATAATAAACATAAACGTTGGATATAAAAATTAAAATATGTGAAACTTTGTTTTATTTACTTTTATTTCACCTCTTTTAAAAATGAGAACATAGAGAATAATTAAAGCAATATTTCCTTCTTTATAGTATCACTAAAGTAATTTTATTTCAAGTTTTGGATTTTAAAATACTACCTTTGGTATAATTTTACTCAAGGCTTAATTAAGACTTTGTAAGTTAGATATCTAGATTAAAATACTACCTTTGGTATAATTTTACCCAAGGCTTAATTAAGGCTTTGTAAGTTAGATATCTAGATTGTCCCCTGGATTCCAGTTGGAACATGGCAGCACTAAGTGTATTAGATGATACTATTAGGAAAGTACGTAACAGAAGATAATGGAGTTATTTTGCTTAATCCCCTAACAACATTAGAAAGTGATTGAGATAATAGAATAAATTAAGATTAAGTTACAATTTTATTGGGCTCCTTCACTTTGTCTCTCAGGGGATATTTAAATCATATGTAACATTCCCAAGAAAACTCAATTCCAATAACAAGCCCATGAGGCTCCATAAGGGTAGGGACAATGTGTTTACCACTGTATATTTGGTAACTAGCCCAACAGGCTCTCAAAAATCAATAGAATATTGCTTATGAATAAATATCACACACATATGTTGGGAATAAGAAGTACATTCACATTTTCTATTCTAAAGTAATGGGTTGAAATTTTGCTGCTGACCTCCTAAAAGTAGGTTTCAAGAATAAAAGAAAGTCAATTAATTAATGTGAAGATTTGTAGTATATATTTTGTCAATAACCTTTGCAGAAGAACATTAAATGATAGAGCAGTTATCTAAAAAGAACAGATTTCTCTCACTTTAAATCGAAGGAGTTTGGGAGACTTGGTGAGAAATATGTTAGATAAAATTTCACCCTAAGTAATAACTAAGTAAAGGTTAGCCTTTCTGTATCAGGAGGAATTTATTTAATGTGATAACAATGAATCACTGCTTCTGGAAAACCAGAATTTCAGATCATCATCATCTTCTTCTTCTTTTTCTTCCTTTTTTTTTTTTTTTTTGAGATGGAGTCTCGCCAGGATGGAGTGCAGTGGCATGATCTTGGCTCACTGCAATCTCCACCTCCTGGGTTCAAGCACCTCTCCTGCCTCAGCCTCCCAAGTAGCTGAGATTAAGGGACGTGCCATCATACCCAGCTAATTTTTTGTACTTTAGTAGAGATGGAGTTTCATCATGTTGGTCAGGCTGGTCTCAGCTCTTCTTTTGATTTCATAATTTGTCAGAAGAAAAAAGAAGCTTACAAAGGAATGAAGTTGCCTTGAATGTGGACTGCTTATGCATCTTCTATGGAAGAAGCATCGGAGTCAAAAATAAGCAGGCATGTGACAGAATGTAGGAAAAAACAAATTCAATGCCAACCATTTCAATGATCCCATTTAAAATTATTTGATTTCTAAGAATTGTAATGGGATACATCAGTGGTATTTTTTAAAAAGGATGTAGATTAGTGGGAAAGTCCCTCTTTTTGCCTTATTCTGGTGTTTGTGTTTTACTCCTACTCCCCATATGAGCATTTGCTTAAGTTACAACTGAAGGCTTATAGAGTATCTTGATTTCTTTTAGCCAGAAATGGAGTTTGTTGGTTACATCACTGTCTCATCTAAAACATCACAGTTTCACTATTTTTAGAGTGTCTTTTGTTAAAAATTAAGAGTGATAAGTTGTTTCCTTCTTAAATATTGTTTTGAAAACTGCTCAATTATACTGTTCTCATAGGCTTTTTCTTATCGGGAATCAATCCTTGGTTTCAAGATAAGGATATAATAAATAGAAATCTGAAGTATAATTTCATTCATGGTATTACTGGACTTTCAGACGGTCACTGCTTCTTTCTGGCAGTTTAAAACTGCATGTTATTGGGCTTAGACATTGTATAAAGTCCTAATCTTTTTACATAAATAAGAGTGATTCATTTTTCTAAAACATCAAATTTAGTTGTTATATAACCATGAAAAGGCAGATGGCTCTGAAATTGTTATGATGCATACTCATCATAGACTATACTTTATTTAATTAGTATAATATCACAACATAGAATATAGAAAATGTTATAAAGCCTATAACACATATGCATATATTTTCATTTATCACAAAATAGTGTACAAACATATACACTTTTTTTGTATTTTATAGACAAGGAATTCTGAATGCAGAGAAAGATTGAAGAATTAAGAGGTTACTCAGAACCATCCTACTCTATGAAATAATAAATGAACAAGAAAAAACATATTAATATGTTACTAGCATCATATATATACATAAGCTAATAAGCACATATTTACAGCAACTACTCATATTATCTAGGTGATTTACTCAAAATAGGTATTTCTACCAAAGTTCAGTAACAAAACACATACCAAAAGAGGTAGCTACTGCATACTGCCCACACCTAAACTAATCTAAGGAAAAATAACAAATTACCATGTTCACATGTCGTGTTTTGTAGAGTTTCTGAAAATCCTTGAGGATTTTACCAGGAGACAGGTTTGAGACTATTCTCTTAGTAAGACTGTAAGACTGACTTTCATTTTTTTTCCTGATTCCTGATTTTCATATGCCACTTGCAAATGTAATTTTCATTCTTTAATATCCATTCACTTCACAGTTAATATTTCTCAAGCACCATAGATGACTTGAAATTAAATCACATACATCTTTTCTTTATGCGTTAAAGTGTTAGTATTAAGGATTAATGGGCTTTATTCTCAGTACCTAGATTATTCTTTGGTAGTAAGTTAGTAACATAGGAACACATTAACTCTTTCAAACTGACAGGACACTAGTAAACTATATCAGGGACTGAGTTACAATGATCTTAAGTGTGAATTACACTTATGTTCAAATTTATTTACTGTGAGTGATCACAGAGATGGACTTTTCATGTGATTTCCTTTAGACTTACAGTATATTTGTACTGTTAACAATTTATATAAATCTATATATTCTAGAAAACATCTGGAAATTGGCAGCAAACAATTAAGGCCTCATTTATTTATAATGATTATGATTTAGAGAGTTACGAAAGACACTTTGTCAATTTACTCAGAAATGCGTAAGTAATACATAGTCACCCTCCATCCCTTAATGCCTCTTCCTCTCCTTTTGAACAGATGGGTAATGTACGGCGGGCATGGGAGGTGGAAAGGACACAAGGACTGGCCCACCACCTTCTCTGTCCACCAAGATGACAGCTTATAGAGCAGAGGAGGCATATAGGTCCCCTTCTCTCCCCTCAATGTACCATATAGTCACCTACAGTGCCAGCTCTGTAAGGCCAATGAAAATTATTGTTTCATCTTAATTAGTAGAACAATTCTCATCTGTGTGCTAAGAGAATAGCCACAAACCTGTCTCCTGACAAAATCCTCAAGGATTTTCAAAAACTCTACAAAACATGACATGTGAAAGTTGTAATTTGTTATTTTTCCTTAGATCAGTTTAGGTTTGGGTGACACGCAGTTATCTGCCTCTTCTGGTATGTGTTTTGTTTCCCAACTTTGGTAGAAATACCTATTTTGAGTAAATCACCTAGATAATATGAATGAATAGTTGCTGTAAATATTTGCTTATTAGCTTATAAGTATATATCATGCTAGTAATATATTAATATATATATTTTTTGTTCATTTATTATTTCATAGAATAGGATGGTACTAAGTAACCTTTTAGTTGTTCAGTGCAGGTAATACAGAGAGAAGGAAGGCTTCAAGGAAATTGAACTTGGTCCTGTAGAATGGGTGGGATACAAATAAGCAAAGAGGAAAGAAAAGAGGGTAACGTAGAGGAAAAAAGCAGCATAGATGAAGCACAGGTACAAGGGCGAATATAGTCTATGAGAGGAACTGCATAGAGGTCAGTCTGGCAGGAACAAAGAGAGGCAAATAAGCAAAGATTTACAACTATTCATTGTCCATCCTTCATCATGTGCCTTCTTAAACAAAATAATTAGTATAATTCTTTCTGGCTGGGCGCGGTGGTTCACGCCTGTAATCCCAGCACTTTGTGGGGCCGAGGTGGGTGGATCACATGAGGTCAGGAGTTTGAGGCCAGCCTGGCCAACATGGTGAAACCCCGTCTCTACTAAAAATACAAAAATTAGCCAGGCGTGGGGGCGGGCACCTGTAATCTCAGCTACTCGGGGGGCTGAGGCAGGAGAATTGCTTGAACTCGGGAGGCGGAGGTTGCAGTGAGCCGGGATCATGCCACTGCACTCCAGCCTAGGTGACAGAGTGAGACTCCATCTTAAAAAAAAAAAAAATCCTTTCTACATGCAGCCTCCAGCTGCTTATATCTGGACTTTAAAATATTCACACATCAGGCTACTTCTGATAATTCTCAATCTGAATGACATCACTTCAGAAAGTGATCTGCTGTTTGCCCAGTAGAGGAGTTACATATTATTGCCTTCTGAAGGATGATACCTCAAACTGCAGCCTTGACATCTGGCCTATCTTTGAACGGCTTGAGATACAGCTCTTATGAATAATCTTTATCATTCAGAATAACTTTGGACATTCTGACTTTTAGCACTAAACTCCATGGAAAGAGTTTAATTATTTGGGAAATGGGGTTATACAATCTAAATTGCTATCATTCCATAGAAATTCTCATGGGTATTTCTATTATTCCCAGAGAAGAATCCTTACAAGCCCTTCCTTTCTTTTCCTTGTCAGTTTCTAGAAGCCAATTTTGATGAGTTTTATATCTGCCATCTGGCCGTACTTTTCTCAAACTCAACTTAATATTTTTTCTCATAAGTTTATAAGTTAGGGTTACACAAAAGAAAATGAAATTAGTTCTTAGTATTGAAATAAAGACGTTCTATTAATGGCACTGTGTTTTTCCTATCTCTTATGCAGAGAACCTTAAGATGCTGAATTCTTTACCCTTCACATCTAGTTGGTCATTGAATCACATTTTGTCGATAATGTTTCTGATATGAATTTCTTCCTCCCATTCTCACTGCTACCAACCTACATCAGTACATTGTTTGTCTATCTTAAAATACTATACTATCATGACTTCTTAGCTGGTACTCTTACCTCTAACACCAACCTGATTTAATAAATCTTCCAATGCTAAGTGAGAGATTGATGCTCCTAAAATGCTATTTTCATCAAGTAATCGCCACTGCTTTAAAAACTCTGCAATGGCTTCTTATTTCCTATCACAGGAAATCTAAATGCATTTGCATACTTTTGAAGGCTCTCAGTAATTCAGACTAGTCTCGCTTATCTGATCTCATGCTCCAGGAGCCTCCGCTCCTGCCAGGGTGACCTCTCTGCAGCTCCTCTCATAGATTATATTTACTCTTGTACCTGTGCTTCATCTCTGCTACTTCTCTCCTCTGTATTACCCTCTCTTCTTTCCCCTATGCTAATTCATATCCCACCCATTCTACAGGGCCAAGTTAAATTTCCTTGAAGCCTTCCTTGTCGCCGTATTACCTGTACTGAACAACTAAGAGGTTACTTAGTGCCATCCTACTCTATGAAATAATAAATGAACAAAGAAAATTATGGCAATATATTACTAGCATTATATATATACATACATATACACAAATTACAAGATACCAGATACTTTTAAACTTAATTCTATTTGCAGGCACTTGAACCCTCTCCAAATATTTAGGTACAAGTATGTTTACTGCAGCAGTATTAGGAAACAACTCAAAACCAGCAGTATAAAATTCTCGTGGGCAAAGGAGGTATGAAATGCTTTTAATGTATCCAACCAGTAGTGCTAAATACATGACACAATTTTTTTGATTTAGCTGTCTTTATATCTTGTAATAACGGTAACAGAGATGAAAATAAAATCAATTTTGTTGCTTTTTTCTTACACTAGTCTACATTTTCCACTAAAATCCTACATCTTTCCAAAAAGTGATAAAATGTTTTAAATTCCATCCAGTAAGTAGTCAGACTAACAAGACATTTTTTCTATTAATGCTTACAATGAAATGGCAAGAAGAGGTGTTGCCAACTGTAAAAAGCAAGTTGAAAGAGTTATTCATACTTGTCACCTTTTTGCCAAAAACTTCCCACAGGCATAGTACTTCGAATGCTATGTTCTATACCTGAAGATTTAAATCACTCACATTAATCTGTCAAAAACTCTGGTCCACTATTTTGACATGCTTACTGAGGACAGAGGATGACTGACTATTCTCAAGGAAGTTACTAACTACTGTCCAAACCTTCTCTCTCAGTCTGTGCAAACTATAGCAGTGAAGCTCTTTGATGGGACACACACTGCCTTTTTCAGCTTCACATCATTCTTTTCTATTAGGTACCAGTGTTTTTGAAAGTTATAAAAAAAGCATATTTAAAAAGTACAGAAATTTTGAATAGTTTCTCAGTATTTGTACCATAAGTAAATCCAAATTAAATTCTAGCTATTACTATATATCTTTATGGCTTTTGCAACTTAGATCACTCTTAGAGAATATTATGATAATACACTTTATAATTAGACGGCAAGATGAAATGTTATCTTTCTGCTATAAAAAAGTACTATATTTCTCTCTTTTCCATATACTTAAAGGGAGTTAAAAATACACAGTTCCTCAAGGATATCTCTATAAATAGCCTAATTGCTTTTCTAACTGATAGAAACTTTTTCTAACAATTCTAAATATTCTTTAACTCAAGAATTCCATTTGCACAGATATGTGCAAATATCTAGCTTTAAGTATTTTCACTGCAGTGGTATTTGAAAATAACAATTAAATTATAGTACAATCATAGAATAGACTTAAAGCCATTTAAATTGTTTATTCTTCATATGTAAAAGATTATATATAATAACATAGGAAGTTTTTCATAATATGCTAAGTGAAACAATCAGGTCATAATATTATATGTATTGTATGAAAACATTTTGTAAAAATGTCAAGTTGCCTAGCTATATTTTAAACTTTTTCTAAAATGAATGTGTATTACTTTAGTAATTTGTAAAAATATGTATGATGGATGAAAAAAGCATTTTCTGATTGGCCAATCAAAAAGATATTAATATTTCTTTTGATCACGATAAACACTTGTATATAACTGCTAAAGTGAACATGAGGGTATTTAAAAGGTTAAAAAATGCAATCTTTTTTTTTCATCCTATTCTCATTTATTTTTTGCTGAACTCTCCAAGGGTTTTAGGATCTTATGAGCCTGACAGAGAATTAAGCTCAAAAACTACATGCAGCTGTGTTGCTACAGAGTTTATACTAAATATATATATTAGGCAGGTTTTATAGTTTTACTTCTTCATACCTAGACATAAATTAAGGGGACATGTGGTATACAAAGATGTTATTTTATTGTTCTTTTCTAACATCATAAGTCAAGGCCCTACAATTTTGATAATTAAGCATTTACAATATTTGAATGAAAAGAAGCAGAGTTTTTTATACAGTTAAGACTATCTCAGAGGCTTTCCTTTAATCTCTCACATTCAAATGAACCCAATCTAGAATCTAAGGGTTCAAACCTCTCACTGTGTTTTGATCCTGTTTGTTCTATCCCTGAAGGATATTTGCATTGGAAGAGATGATTTATGACTGAAGAACTATGACAGCTTATTTGCTAAGATAAACAAATCTGAATTAGTATTAAGTTATAAAAACTATTACCTACTGGGCTTCTAATTAATAAAAATAACTCTTTTAAATGGAAAAAAATAACACAACGGCTAAGTTTACAAACAGTTCTAATGCTTTCTCTAGGTAATCATAAATGATAATAATAATAACCTCAAATAAGCAACTCAAAAGAAGGCAAGCTGTTTGTTATCATAAAATACCACAATTTAACACAATTCTGACACTGTAAAAGAAAAATAAAACCTCTCTGTTAAAAAAAAACATGCAAAATTTCAAACAGGAAAAACTGCTTACAGTGCATATAATAAAAAGCTAATTTATTTACTACTCAGAGTTTTTATAAATCAATAAAAATTGATTTATAAACAATTTTTTGTCCAACACAAAAATGGGAACCGGTCAGGAATAGGCAGTTCACATAAAAAGAAAAATAAACTGCTAATAAAATATTTTTAAAAGCTTAATCTTATTCCTAATAAAATAAGTGCATATCAGAACAATATAATTTTTTACCTTTCACACTGGAAGGCTAACAACTTACTCAATAGTAGTGAATGCTTACAGAAATAAGCATTCTCTTAGACATTGTTGTTCTCAAATATTGTTCACATAACTTTTTAAAATAACAATTTGACAATTTTTGTCAAAATTAAAAGAACACACATTTTTTGAACCTCAAAATGTTCATTTCTAGGAATTTATCTTACAGATTTATCGAAAGAACTACACAAAAATATGTTTGAGGAAGACTGCTCATTTACAGCACTGTCTGTAACAGCAGATTTTAAAAATTAAACCAGGCCAGGTGCGGTGGCTCTCGCCTGTAATCCCAGCACTTTGGGAGGCTGAGGCAGGCAGATCACAAGGTCAGGAGATCAAGACCATCCTGGCTAAAACGGTGAAACCCCGTCTCTACTAAAAAAAAAAAAAAAAATACAAAAAATTAGCCAGGTGTGGTGGCGGGCGCCTGTAGTCCCAGCTACTTGGGGGGCTGAGGCAGGAGAATGGCGTAAACCGGGGAGGTGGAGCTTGCAGTGAGCCGAGATTGCGCCACTGCACTAGAGCCTGGACGACAGAACGAGACTCCGTCTCAAAAAAAAAAAAAAAAAAGAAAAGAAGTAAAAGTCCACTTTGCCTTTCCAAGTGCCTTCTCACTGTATAGTACAGCAATAATTCTAAACACAGCATAACAAATTCCTTATCAGGAATAATAGTCATTCTGTGTAAAATGCATTTAGTTGATAGGTTTTGTTGTGTTCAGTATTTCCAAAAAAAAAAAAAAAGCATATATACAACTACACTGACTACAGAGGCTTGATTATGAGAGACTAATATTTAGTCAAATTATTAAGAAATCATATTTTAAGTTATCTATCACATTTTTGGTGATTCTTCTGTCTCTATAATTTTAACAACGTTTGATATGCCATACTCTCTTAGAAATACTATGATAAAGAAGCCATTAAGAGTATCCTCTACTTTTTCCCATTGATTCTCTCCATCATTGAGGAATATTCAATACACACCATAGAGGAACAAATTTAACTGAATGAGTTCTCCTTAATTTCAACAATTAATATGGGCACAAAGCAATGTAAAGTCTTCACTGGTTATCTTTACTGTTAATTTATCAGGTCCAACTTTTCTTACGGACAAGTAGGCTATATGCATAATCCTTTAATGTACAATTTCAAAGTTCAGAAAGCTCTGAAAAACAAAAAGTACTTTTATAAGTTTGCTGCACTCCTGTTGCAGCAAAACCTGACCTGATTTAGGGTGACAATTCACATATATCTCATTGCAGAAACATTCATGTGTTTGATTATAGGCTGCTTCCGGGAACAACATCCTTTTATAAGATTTGGAAAATTCTGAATTATGAAACACACATAAACCCAAGGGTTTTAAGTGAGGGATATGGATCTGATTAGGTTCTGTGTTATTCCTTTAGTAGGTGAACAATATTGTTCATATGCCATAGCAAATTCAATATTTTAAAATCATATTTTTGGAGGGTCTAAAATTGATTATATTCTATGGTACACTCTAAAAAGTAATCAAGACTTACAGCAACATAGCCCAAAGAGTTAATGGAATATATGGTTTTCACAATGATAAAACCTTCCTTGATTCACCCAAGTCGGAGAAAGATGTCCTTTCTAAGTGTCCCCACAGTACTACACACTTCCCCTATTATGATTGCTGTTTACTGGTCAGTATCCCTTGCTAGACTGTATGCTCAGTGATGTCAGATGCTGCTGCCTTGAATTATATTTAACCAGTAATTCCCAGTGCTTGCCTCAGTGCTTGGTGCATAGCACATGCTTGATTAAAATAATAATTGAATTGGAAGGCAGAAGAAATAAGTTTCAAATAATTCTCTAAGTACCTTCAAATAACTCAAGGTAGGACACGAACTACTCTCATTCATCTTCTATCCTTTCATTATTTAAGGACCCCTTTTATTCTTATTTCGCCAAAATATTTTAGCAGCTGTCCATTCACTGACATTTCTATTGTGATAATAATCATGCTCATTTTATTTCCAGTTTTATTTTGTAGTCTTTCATGTTAATGATTATACTTCCTTTGTCTTTTTAAAATAAGCTTCAGGCCGGGTGCGGTGGTTCATGCTTGTAATCCCAGCACTTTGGGAGGCTGAGGCAGGTGGATCACGAGGTCGGGAGTTCAAGACCAGGCTGGCCAAGATGGTGAAACCCCGTCTCTACTAAAAATACAAAAAAAATTAGCCAGGTGTGGTGGTTGGTGCCTGTAATCCCAGCTACTCGGGAGGCTGAGGCAGAGAATTGCTTGAACCTGGGAGCCAGAGGTTGCAGTGAGCTGAGATTGCGCCACTGCACTCCAGCCTGGGTGACAGAATGAGACTCCATCTCAAAAAAAAAAAAAAAGAAAAGAAAAAGAAAAATTAAGATGTCAAGAAGAACATCCACCTGGATATTTTATATACTACTGAAATTTACATACTACTGAAATTCAACCTGCTAAAGATGTCGTTCCATTTCACTCTGTTCTTCCTCCAGTCTTCCAAATCTCAGTAAATGGTATTCCCATTTATCAGACTGTTCAAGACAATTATCTGGGAACTCTCCTCAACACCCTGTATCTTTCCAGAAAGTCTACTGTCCAAATTTATCTCATGTCACTATTTCTCTCAATCTCCCCCACCCCACATCCAAGTTATCACAATTTCTCATCAGTTCTATTACTTCCTAGTGAGTCTATTTCTACTCTTGTCTCATTCCAATTATCTTCCACATAGCAGTCAGTGTTAGTCTTTTAAAAATGCAAATCAGAATATATCCCGGATTGAAATCCATCAACAATTTCCACTGCTTGTAAGGTAAAGTCAAAAAATGGGAAATAACAGATAAAAACCACAACGAAAGTTAAATGGTTCTATAAGATCTGACTCTGCATACTACTCCATCCTCCTTTTTTGCTCCAAGCACCATTATTTTGCTGCAAAAATCTTCCTTCAGTTTCTCCAACAAGCCAAGTTATTTGCTTTGGCTTCCATACAGAAGGCTTTTTCTCCTGGCTAATTCCTATTTATACTTCTGGTCTCAGAGAAACACCTCTTCCCTTACCACAAATCTTAATCTGCCTGTTATACTTTCCTAGCATTCCTAGGAATTTTTCCTCATCATATTAAACTAAGTTATAATTACACACTTCTGTGTATGAATATTTTAATATGTCTCTCCTGAAAGATTTACGAGGTCAAGGTACAGTGAGGTCAAGATACAGTTTGAGTTTGTTCATCAGTGCCTAACACAGTGCCTGGAACACACAGAAGATGTTTTTAAAAAATCTGTTGAATTAGGACATGAATACAATTGATCAACATCTAACTATTATAATTATGACAGAAAAATATTTAAATCATGACCTGTTTTGAATGTGCAACAATCTTTCTTCTTTTATCCATTAGGAATTTTTCTCTTTCATCTTTTTTATTTGGAATGAAATAGATTTGTATTTGAGATCTGGAAAAAAAAAACTCTAATATTTATATTTGGCTTAGCTATTATAACTCATCTATTTACTTCCTGGGATATCTGTAATGATTTGTGTTTAAATTTTCACTTTACGATAACTAATTAGGACACCTAGATCACCATTTAAAAAATACAAACAACCACTTCCAGTAGTCAAAAGGGGCTATTTTTAAACGGACAAAATCCATCACAAAACAGTATCAAAGCTAAGTTTTATCATAGAAGTATGGACTCATTAAATAATTAGGCAGACAGATGGGCTAGCTATTATACTTAGAACTTGGCCCAAATTCTAATGAGTAATGAAACTTGTTCATTAAGCCATAAGCAAGGTGACATGACTGTTAACATAAATCTTTGATGCACTGATCTGATTCCTTTCTAAAGACATTTACTTAGAGTAGAGTTTATTGTGTTTAAATTGTTACTTAAATGATATTTTAAAGTTCTTTATTTTTATTTTCATGATATAGAAAATGTATGAAACCAATATTAAATTCAATTACTAAGGATAAAAATTGTATTAATGGGTTCCAGTTTCACTCCCTAAGTAAGAAAATAGGATTCATATCTATTAATTTCCCACTAACATGTAGCTCTCCAGAATAACTACTTGAAATGTATTCCTAGGATGCAAACATTTTTATTATTTTACTATTCACTGGATTCATTATTCAAAAAATTATGAGCAATAGTACAAACAATTTATACTACACGATAAATGATGTATTCTATGAAATTCAAACGTTTTCAGAGTCAATATAATCACAACATACTTTTTTTGGATTCATGTGTTCATTCACAGTTTGCTTTTAACTACTTCACAGAGATGGGAGTTTACACATTACAATGAGGATTTATTGATTTATTGGTTACAGAGTATAATAAGCATTCTCAGTAAACTGGAAAAGATAGCTCTGAGGCTAGTATCATACAATAGTAAGTTGCAGCATACTTCAGAGCAAAATCAGAAGGTTGGCATAAGAGAACGATATATGGTGTAAACTAGACTAGCAAAGACTAATATTTAGTAAGTCCACTAACACAAACAAATTAGGTTTTTAAGTTGTACACTTTGTCCACGATGGGAAAAATATTTACTTAGTATTTTATGTTATATGGTAAACTATTCTATAACAAACTATTAAATTTCCTTTTTGGGAAAACGTTTTCTTATTTGAAGATGCGTAAAGTAACACTTAACATTAATATGATGTAACACATACTTTTTCTAGCAAACAAGTCCTTTCAATACTGTATCTGAATTTAGCTAACTCAGATAATTTGACTTTTGCATGTATTTGTGGGGTGTGTTTTGTTAATAAATAATAAAAGTATTTAAAAATGTTTTTTAGTATTTCAAAATAAATACTTTTAAACAATAAAATGTGTTAAATTGATGAGAGTAAAAGGGTTGAGCAAAAACTACACAATGAAATTCTCTAAAGCATCATGTAAAAATTTTGTAATTTAAAAATGTAAAGATCATGTAGCCAAAGGTGGTAATGTTCTCTGCTCTGTTTTATTTTTGAAGCCAAAGAAAAAAAAAATATATATATATATATATTTTTTTTTCTTTAGATAAAGTCTTGGTCTGTCACCCAGGCTGGAATGCAGTGGCATGATCTCGGCTCACTGCAACCTCTGCCTTCTGGGTTCAAGCAACTAAGAATAACATTTTTATTAAACTTTTTTTGCTTTTTAAAATGGAATAGTTTGAGGACTTCTGAGAGCCCACAAATGAGCAAAGTGGAGTACTGGAAGAGATCCGCAGAATAGTTCATGACTCAATCAGCTGACTGAGTTGTTTATCATTCAGCTGAAGAGAACTGGCCAACATGTTGTTTTAGAGCGTAATTTTTTTCTTTGGTAGTTGTAACTTGTTTAATTTCCATCGCTAATAGCCATTGAAGAAGTAAAGCAAGCAGAAAGTATATGGATGTTGAAATACAAATTAATGAGGAGCATAAAAATAAATCTGTAAATTCACCTCAGGATTCTCTTCACGAGATCTATAAATTGTGTTCATTTGATCACACTACTCACATTACCTATTATGTAGCTGCTTCTTAAAAAATGAAGTTAAAGAGAGAACAAATTAGAATAATAATACTCAATTTAGTTTTTCATATACTGGCATAAAGGCCAAAACACCCACAATGTGCTATTTGTGAAAATATTCTAGAAAACAGAGGCTCTATTGTTTTATTTTAAAAGTAAATGTGGCTGGGCGCAGTGGCTCACACCTATAATCCCAGCACTTTGGGAGACTGAGGCGGGTGGATCACCTGAGGTCAGGAGTTCAAGACCAGCCAGGCCAACATGGTGAAACCTTGTCTCTACTAAAAATACAAAAATTAGCCAGGCGTGGTGGCTGGTGTCTGTAATCCCAGCTACTCTGAAGGCTGAGGCAGGAGAATCACTTGAACCTGGGAGGTGGAGGTCACAGTGAGCCGAGATCTTGCCATTGCATTTCAGCCTGGGTGACAGAGCAACACTCCGCCTTAAAAAAAAAAAAAAAAAAAAAAAAAAAAGTAAAATGTTAAGAATTCCAAATATCATCTCACAAGCAGTTATTTAATGTCATAATATGTTATTAAATTTTAATCTACTTTCTTTTTTATATTCAGTCCCTAAACCCAACTTAATATTTCATTATAAAATTTAACAAATTGTGATTTTTCTTATATAGCTGAAGTCAAACATCATGTGATGTTACATATTATAAGTATTAAAGATTGTTTTAAATAAAAGTTATAAAACAATCAATGTAAATTAACTTCTTTATCTTATACCAATGCAAAAAAATATGTTTAAAACACTACCTAGAGAATATACATTGAAGAGATTCAAGAGGCAAGAAAGGTTCAGAAATGTTGCTTTAACATTGCTAAGGGTTTTGATCATTTTAAACCCAGAAAAGTTTCAATTAATGATGGAGGAAGTGAGTCACTGATTTTTATACTGCCAATGAAATGCAGCAAGCTAGAATAACTGGTTAGTTTTATTAAGGTATCTTATTAAGATGGCTTATTAAGCTACTCACTGTTGTTTTCATAGGGCTTTAGGCAGATACTAAACTTTAAAATGTAGGATTCGTTCCTTCCTAACTTTCATAAAAGTCATATATAATTAGCACTGAATGAAATTTTCTAATGTCAACATTTCAAATTTTGATTAACAGGGAATACAAATCAACCTTACTCAAGTTTAATTCAAAAGACAGGCAACATCCTTTGGGAGACTAGTAGAGATAATATATCAATGCAACTTCAAATTTTAGACTAAGCCATGGGCCTACAAAGTAAAAGTAATATTCAACTTATTAAGCTGGCATCATCACAGTCATTTTCCCTACCTGATTTAACCATGATTCATAAAAACCATATATTCTCATATTTAGATCAACATTTAAGGTCTAGAAGGCAATCAGGCCCCTGTTGATAGATATGATGATTGATCTACATAGAGTATAAAAGATGATTGAAATAAAGATAAAGTAACAGTTGATAAAAGTGGTGAAGGTTCCAAACATGAATTGAGATATAAAAATTTAGACAGTGGTAAGGTTTATGGACACCATATAATTAAAAACCTGGCCAAATTCCGCAAGGTGGAAGAACCACAATTGTTCAAGTCTATGATATCACTATCATTTCTAAACATAAAATACCATTCAATAGAAATCATACAAGTCAGGATAACTTAGCAAGTTAACATTATCATTATTACTATTTTTAAAGAGACTAAACTAGGAGTGTCTTTTGTTCCCCTGTAACAGTCTTTTTTTTCCCCTGTAACAGTGTCTTTTTCATCTTTTATAGGGTATTCAAGGCTAGAACTAGAGTGAGGTGAATGAGGCACTCATCTCAGGTTAAAATTTAAAAGGATGTAAAAAAAAGTAATCAAGATGAGTAATATGTTAATAAAAATAGTTTTAAAATCACAAAACAAAAACTTCATGAGAAAAATATCAAAATTTTAAATAAGGAAAGGATCAGTACCTAGTCTAACACTGACAGTCTCTAAAGCAAAACTTCTTTACCTCGTAGTTTCTTTAAAAGATGAATTCTGATAAAGGGTTGAGTGGTTTAGGTCTATCTGCCATCACTTACATAAGCACAGAATACATGAGTGAGAAAAATGCCCAAAGTAAATTTTAATAATAAATCCCTAAATTATTGTTCTAAGGCAGTTGCTATCCTAAATCCCTATGTCTAAACCCACCCTGATTTCTAAGCTCTAAACCCCTTGGTTATACTAAGTAAGCTCTCTCAAACTATTTAGACTGATTGATTCTAGTACCAAGGTTGCTTCTTTTAACTAATTTTATAGCTGATTCATGGTCTTTGCTTGAATTAATTATACTGCAAGTTACAAGGTACTGATTTTCTAATTGTATCATTCTCTCTACATTTATTAACTGACATTATTCTGTACAAAAGGCTGTTTCCGCTTTATCCTTCATCTCTTGTTTTTGAGTACGTTTGTAGACTCTAAGATGTAAAATTTCAATATTTTGTAATCAAAGAGTTTATTTTTTGATTCACAAGACATCCCAAATTTGGTCAGTGGGAACCTTTTCACGATGGTTTATGTGTCCTTTCTATATAACCCCCATTAAATCTGTGAGCATTTGCTTGTTTCTTGGCACAAGAAGACATCCCAGATTACTCTGTATTTTCCCTGACCCAGACCTAGAAGCTTGGTACTTTTTAATGGGAAATGGTACTTAGAAACTAAAATCTGGATGCTAGATGTGTGTGTTGCTTTTAAGCCCTTTTCAGAGGATAGAGCTAAGAAAAATATGTATATATTTAAAATCACGCCAGTTGCGGTGGCTCATGCCTATAATCCCAGCATTTTTGGAGGCCAAGGTAAACGGAACACTTGAAGCCAGGAGTTCAAGACCAGCCTGGCCAACACAGCAAAAACCCATCTCTACTAAAAATACAAAAATGAACTGGGTGTGTTGATGTGTGCCTGTTATCCCAGCTACTCAGAAAGCTGAGGCAGAAGAATCACTTGAACCCGGGAGGCGGAAGTTGCGGTGAGCCGAGATCCCGCCACTGCACTCCAGAGTAAGACTCTGTCTCAAAAAAATTAATAAAATAAAATCATGAGATTTACTTTGATATTTCTAATTCAAATTTAACATTACAGTTTCTATTTCCTAATTCCATTTATTTTATGGTGGAAATCTTGGTTCCTAATAACATTTATTTCTTTATTTGCTCAATCCAACAATATACATAAAATCATTTCAAAATATTAATACCAGTAGGGCTAATAACTGTTAACATAGTTAGTAAACTTTAAAATTTCTTTGCATGTATTTCTGTTCTTAGAATATATGCCACTAAGGATGTATAGTCAAAGTATGATGATCAAAAGATACTTTTCTGTATCTTATCAATTTGCTATACAGTTAGGTATGTTTATTTCTATTTATAGTCACTTTTAAGGCTTTCTTTTTATCTTTTTAATTTGATTTCAATTTCTAAATATGTAAAAGATTTACATGGCTCAAAAGTCAAAACTATACAAAAGGGCATACTCAGAAAAGTTGCACTCCCATCCTTGCCTGTATCTCTTTCCCATATACTTCCAAAGGTAATCATTTTAGTTTCTGGCTGATCTTTCCTGTTCCTTTTATTCTTATTTCTCACACAAAAGGCAGTATATGAGAAGCACTTGATTTTTTTCAGTTAGCAATCTGTCCTGGAAATCACTCAATATCAGTTTATAGATATCGTCCTTATTCTTTTTTACAGTTGCATTGTATTACACTATGTGCACGTACCATCATTTAACTACTCTCCTGTTTGGGTTATTTTTATTTGCTATTAAAAACAATACTGTAATTCTTATGTTGCTTCATACGCATGGAGGTTTATATTCAGGATAGAGTCCTAGAAGTGATTCTCCCTTAGTCAAAGGGCAAATGCATATGTACTATTGTTAGACATTGCCAAATTCTCCTCCATAGGGGTTTTACCATTTCACGTTCTCACCAGTAATGTATGAGAATGCACAGAACCCTCTTTACTTCCAGTTTCAAGACCTATGTGAAGAATCCCTTTCAAAAGTTACATGGTTCTTATATAGTTTCTGAGGCTACAATATAATTTTTCTCCCTTTCTGTTTCCAAACAGGTGATCATAATGTTTTAATTAAAAATATATAAGTTGAAGGTATTAAACCACTTATGTTTACAGAGCACATTATACTTTTCAAAGCACTTTTAGGCACACGCATTTCATTTGATCCTTATAGCCATGTTTTGAACTAGATTAGAGCAAGTATATCTTCCAGATGAGAACACTGAGAGCAAATTTAATGATCTGTACATACCTAGTTACTGACAGTTGAGGGTCCTGTTAGTTCACTAATATTTTTACTCGATACTAAGTTGCCTCCCCTTTAACTTTGAATTTTAGTGTCTTAATTTCTATATGTTAGTGTAACTTTCTAGATAAAAGTATTAGGAATGCAGACCTAATCATTATATTTACCTCATAAATGGCAGAAACAAGAACGCTATTATTGAGTTATTTGAGCTTGTATTTTAAGTTTATTTTGGATAATAAAGCTTCATTTGTTTGGTTCAGCTTAAATATTTTATGAACTACAAAGTGCTAACCAAGTATAATATAGTTTATTCTAAAAAAATACAGCATATTTCAATTTAAAGAAAGACTTAGTAATGTAAAATAAGTAACAGATTAAACACAATGAATTATCTTTTAATACATAAGCAATTGCTGTACATTTCTAAAGTCATAGCAAATAAAGTAAAAAGTAGCCAAAATGTAATTTCAGGACTGAATTAAAGTTCAAAGTCTTCCTTTGTACTAAACAACGTCTCCTTGCATTCTGTGAAAAGGTGAGAGAAAAAGTTCTATTCTGAGAATAAAACATTTGAACTAAATTTTAATTAGATTGATTCATCCTTGAGAATGGCAACATATATTTATCCTATGAAGTATACTTCAATAAAATATTAAAGAATGACATTAACAAATATAAACTGAGAGTCCTCAAATCAGAAGAAATGAAATTATTGAGCATAAATATAAACTCTAATTTTGGCCTCTATTTCATAATGTAAACTGTACTCCATAAAACACAATCTGTATGTTAAAGATGCCATTTATTTTTGAGGTTGAAAAAACAAAAAGACTTTAGACCCACATATAAAAGGTACTCTTTTCATCCTTTTCTGAGACACTGACCTGTATACTCATTTAAAAATGAACACCACATCTTTACGTTATTAAATCTTTGTTTTGATCTATTAGTATTCACCAAAGTGCCATTTTATAAAACCCCACACTGAATAGACAAGGCTGGAGGTGACCATCTGCAGCTTTAGAGTCTGCGTTTGAATTGATGAAAAGAGCTTTGTGTTTTCATTGCCAAGTTTGATTCTTCCAGTCATTAGGCATTCCCCTCAGATCGCATCAATGAAGCCGGACTCTCTTACACCCATGTGTTAAATTCTCTTCTCCTCATGGTTTCCTTTACCAGCTCTCCTCAAGAATGACTACTGGGTCTTAGCCACATTCTTCTCACAGCTGTGTTAAAAAAGAGCATCAGAAAGTCTTCCTAAAACCCATATGTGTATCTGATCAGTTCTCTGTCTTAGGGTCACCTCACATTGTGGTGTGATTATACAGAGATTCATTCTTGTTCTTGAACTGTGCTACTCCCATCATTCTGGGAAAGATTTAGGCCCTCTGAGAGTCGGTACTAGAGAACTTCTTGGACGTTATGTGAAATACACATAACTTAGCTAAGAAGGCAGATTAGTTTAACTTAAGAAAGATTTTTCAAGATACTAAAAATGTTTTATGTTATTTTTACCATTATATAGCTTGTTATATGGCACATGGTAACAGAAAGAGATATAACATATGCTTTTACATATACACAGTATACTGTTGTATGAGGCAAACGAAAAACTAAAAAGATGATGACGTTCCAAGAACTATTAGTTTGTATTGTATAAATGCCAAAGCAACTAAAAAAATTAAAATTAGTTTAGTAGGTTCCAAAATATCATTTACATGGAATTTGTAGAATCTTTTTTTTTGTCACTTTTGGTCAGTCTTCCTATAGAAAGACCTGCTAAAGTAGTCTACAATAGTATAGCTTTTTTTTTTTTTCATTATATTTAGGTTAAGAAGTGAAAAGTGCCTCTGTTGAGTTGTTCAAGAATGTATAACACTGAAGGAAGAAAGAAGATATGCTTCAGCTGTAATTATATTCAATATTGTTATGGAAAGTTTTTTCTCCTTAAATGTAAATGATCAAGAATAAAGTTAATCTATGGACAATGTTTATGATTTCTCCATCAGACAAAGTTACACTGAAACAAGCAAAGGATTCTTCATTCTGTAAATTTACCAATGGGCAAATATGGACATCGGCAAATCCCTGACCCAGTAGGGATAAATAACCAATTACGGAATCTTAGAATCCAAGTGAAATTTGTATTTCTACATGCTCTTGGGTTCAATTGAGTTTCTCCCAATTATATTTTGGGAATAAAAGCTGTACCTAGTATACCTACGTGTCTATTTAGGATAGCTGCACAACTGTGAAATAAGATTTTAGATGAGTATACCTGACCAACATGGAGAAACCCCGTCTCTACTAAAAATACAAAATTAGCCAGGCATGGTAGCACATGCCTGTAATCCCAGCTGCTGGGGAGGCTGAGGCAGGAGAATCGCATGAACTCGGGAGGCGGAGGTTGCTGTGAGCCAAGATCGCGCCATTGTACTCCAGCCTGGGCAACAAGAGCGAAACTCCGTCTCCAAAAAAAAAAAAAAGTGTATATTTTCTATATTAACCAGTAGATACATTATATCTAATCTGTGTGTTTAATAATAGAGACAACAAAGGGGAAAGTTTTGAGTGAGTTATATAAAGTATCAAGTTAAACGATATGTTACATCAAGTCTAATGAGATTGAGCAATGTTTTTGCAGGAATGACCAAAACTTCTAAAAATCTAACTTCTACACCTTCCTTTTCACCTTTACTATAAACATATTTTAAAGTACACTAACAATTAGTGTCATTTAGTAACCTTTTCCTAGGGAATTCAAATCACTTTATACATCTTATTTTTATCAATTCTTCAATGAATCTCAGGTAAGGTAGTTGAGTACTCCTAACTTCACAGAAGTACCCAGGAGCTATGTAGCCTGTCAAGTGATAAAAAATTAGAAAGCTTTTGACTGCAGCTAAGAACAAAAGAAGGGAAAAGCGTACCTGTTAGATCATATATCCCTCTAAGGAACTTATATTTCATATAAAATAGATATGTGAAAATCACATGTATGTGAATCTAAGGTATAAAAAATGTGGTATTTTTCCCTATCAAATTTTAGTTAAAATGTACATGATCATCGTAAGTGGATTCTGTAATTTCCCTAAAATAATAAAAATTCTGGTCTTTTACTTTTAAAATCACTGTAGTACTGGCATTAATAAAAACCAAAAGCCAAAACTCTTGTATTTAAACTGAAACAGTATGGTATCTCATATTTAGTCTTTTGTTCTTTTTCTTCCATTCCTCTCTATTGTGTTCATCTGAAACATGTTTTATCTATCTGAGTATGCAGAAACATATAGTAGCTCAACTCTAGTTCTAATCACTGGAAGACAGCCTCTGAAATGAAGAAGTACATTAAATGCAAAAAGCCATGTTGTAATCTAAAATTTTGATTCCTACTTTTATGCTCATTTTCATTCATTCCATAAGGTTAGTTACAAAAAGGATCTATCTTATTAGGGAAAATACAGAGTCTAGGTTTAAAGAGCCCTTTTTCTTCTTTAGCCTGGATCCTTCACTTTGCACTCCATTGGAATTCTTATATTCTGGGTTAGGCGCCAATCCTAACAATCCTACATTAATCCTTCCCTGGCACAAAGGAGTTAGCCAGATAATTAAAACTATGTTTCTTCTTCATACCAACATGAGACATTCCCCATAGTTAAGATATAAGCCCAAATTCTTTAGTTTTTATAAATAAATGAATATAATTATGTACTTGTCAAACATTGTAGGTATATCTATGTGTATAATAAAATCAGCTCTAAAGAAACCTACTTTATATATAGATGGATGGGAAAGGTGATCCACTCTACAAGCATATAATGCAATTGGTGATAATTTTAATGAAATGCTTGTTTAACAGAGTATGAGATGACATATTTCACAAGTTAAATATGTAATCAGATAATTTTAACTTTTATGATTCACAAATTCAGAATATTAAATTCTTTAAAAGCATATCACATGTCAAAGAATAAAAATTAAGCATGTTTAGATGTTGTATATCTTATGATGACTGTTTAGGAGCCATCTGAGTCCATCTTCCATATATAGATGATAATAAAGCTATCTCTAATTAGATTTAGAAGGTGCCTTCCAAAGCTAATTAGGGAGGGCATTTGTTGATAAACTATTACAAATAACTATTCGACTTATTACTTGCTGAAGTACATATATTTCACAGCTTTTAAATTTCAAATACAAGAAAATATTTTAAGGAGCAATTTCTAGAAGTTTTAGGTCTCCTCCCACTTATTAATAGTACTAATAAATCAAAGTTAACTTTCAACATTATATAAAATATTGATTTATACCTTCTGCTGAGTTAAGGAATTATGAAACTTATTCTTTGATTCAATCAACAAGTACTTATATTGTTTGGATATGTCTAATTTTGCCTTGACACTTACAGTCCAACAAAAAATTTATAGGAAAAATATCACAGGTAAAGTTGACAAGAACTAGAATAATTTTAATGAAAAGACAATGAAATTATAAAAAAAAATTCACTGAGGCCTTTCATTTTTTAGCATAATTATTTTTCATTATGGATAAAATCGGATTCTGGAGCCAGCAACAAAAGTAAAAAATCTAGTAAAATGTATTGATGAAAATAGCAGGCTTTTTTTTTTTTTCAACTGAGAAACTTTAGAAATGCTCTGTTCCTCTTCCCAGCACCCACAGTCATCTATCCTGTTTTATAATTCAACCTACAAACAGATTAAGCAGCTGAGTTTGTGGGAAGTATGTTTGCTCTATGCTAAGAACCCTTGTGTGACACTATGGTGACTCCCTTGACACTTCGAAGAGAACTACAGACTCTTACTCGTCAGCAGGAAAACCAGGCTGAGAATTCACAATTTCTTTGTAACACCAATTTCTTTACAGAAATCAGTATTTGGTCAAATAGCAGAAAAGACTTTAAACAGCTGTGTGTGTGTGTGTGTGTTTGGTCAATAGTGCTCAAAAGATATAGGGTGCCCTATATTTCAAAAGACAATCTACAACTTCACAAAACCTATCAATTGAAATGTTTTAACCTGATCTTTGATGTTATAATTAAGTTATAAAAATTTAAGATGAGCAGAACTCCTGTAAATTTTAAATAATGGATTTTTTCTTTTTAGAAAATTATGGAAAGCATGAAAGTTCTTGAGTTGATACATCTTTTCTTACAAATCTGTTTAAAAGTTTACAATTTTTCTATATCTCTTTGTCTCATCTATTCATTATATAGTTACAGTATATAACTCTTCATATAGTTTATGAGGGAATTTGAATCATATCACTGTAAATCTGGCCCACAGTAAAAATGACATATGACAAAAGTTATTTCAGTGTAAAACCCAGATCTTTAAGAGTTCTAACCTTATAAGCCTGGTTGTAATTACTTTTACTTTAAGAAACTATGTGGAGCTTAGGTATGCTAAGTATAGCAAAATGTATTTTTAAAAGTCCTTTGGAACTTGTTCCAGGCCACAAGAAGCAAGCATACTTGTAGATGGAAACGAAACTATAGCATAAAGAATCACAAAGTTTTAAATCTCTCATGAATAATAAAAACATCTCTTAATGGATTGATGTGTCAGTTTTCTCTTTAATAAATGGGGATTAGGGATAGTCTTTGACAAAACTATTAAGAGAAGTTTTTCCTACCAAGTTCCTGTGCTCTTAGCTGCTCTTTAGTTCCCTTTACCTCGACATAACCACTCTGTCCAAAACCAAGCACATTCAGTACCAGCAATCTAAAAGCTAAATCACAATGGGCTATTCATCCACAAACTACACATTTTCCAATAAAAGTACATAAAGAAAAGAGAATGAATTTCCACTGATAAAAGATTAGGCTTTATGACAGGTGGGCCAAGAAGATATTTTTTGGTGATGAGGTATGGCATGCACTGACTTTTTCCCTATAAGTGATGATATGCCTATACTGGCTAGCTTATGGATGGTAATCCTGTACAACTTGTCTTTCTAGGAATACTCCCATAGGCTGAAATATTTCAGAAAATATTAAAAATTTTTATGACTCTGGAAGAAAATAAATTTATAATTCTATGAATAGCAATAGTAGATAGTCTCTACTATTACCAAAGATTTCAGGTCTTCTAAATGTAATTAAATTTGATGGAAGTGCGTGGTTAAAATCTGATCAACAGGAAGTAAGCACTGCCAGCTCCTCGGAGAGTGAAAGGTGTGGTGGTGGCAGTGAGGGGAGGGAGGGAAGGAACAGCCATAGAAGTCATGCTTTTCTATGAAACTAGTAAACTCTGGGCTCTGGGTTGGAAGAAAAAGTATTTGTCATGGGCCTAAAGCAGAGGGGAGTATATCTGAAATTTTCCTGTGTATCTCTAACTTGACCTGCTTTTACTTTAATCTGTTATTCTCTGAAACTACTAAATTGTTATAGTTGATTTGTTCATCAATTTACAGAGTACTTACTTTACAGCAGGTATCTGCATGAGTTTTTAGAAGAGATGGGGAAACAAAGATGAATAGAACACAGTCAATGTCTTAGGAAATCTGGAAGAGAGTGCAGTAGGTAGAAAATAGATATTAAAAAAATACCACCTATGCCTGGTGCAGTGTCTCACACCTGTAATCCCAGTACTTTGGGAGGCTGAGGCGGGCAGATTGCTCCAGCCCAGGAGTTTGCGATCAGCCTTGGCAACATGATAAAACCTCATCTCTACCAAAAACAAAACAAAACAAAAAAAACACCAAAAATATTGGCCAGGTGTGGTGACGCATGCCTGTAGTCCCAGCTCCTGGGGAGGCTGAGGCTGCAGTGAGCCATGATTGTGCCACTGTACTCCAGTCTGGGCAACAGAGCAAGACCCTGTCTCATAAAAACCCCCAAAACCAAAACAAAACTATATATATACACACACACGTATATGTATGTGTATATATATAAACCATACATATATACAGTCTATGTCTATATACATGTAGTTTATAGATGTGTGTATATATAAGCTTTATATATAATATAGACATATGTATGGTTCATATATGTATTTACACATACATATAGTCTATATGTATACAGACTATACAAAGATGAATAGACTATATAGACTACGTGTATATATACATATATAAACTATGTGTGTCTATAAACTACGTATGTATGCATATATATATATAGTTTTCAGGTTGAATTATAAAACATGATCAATGACTGTGGGTGCTGGGAAGAGGAACAGAGCATTTCTACAGTTTCTTAATTTAAAAAATGCCTACATATATGTACATATACATAGTTTACATATGTATATACACATACATATATAGCTTATACATAAGTAGATAGATATACATACATGTATATACACACAAACATACATGTATGTGTATCACATGTGCATGTGATACACATGTGTATAAACGTACATAAACATACATATATATCACCTATAAGTATATATACATATGTACATGCACATATATAAACAATATATGTGTATATACATATATAAACTATAATGTGTATGTATATATGTATCTGTACTATATATGTACATATATATAGGCTTTTTCTAAAATTGAGAAACTGTAGAAACGTGCTCTGTTCCTCTTGCCAGCACCCAGAGTCATCTATCCTGTTCTATAATTCATCCTGCAAACAGATTAAGCAGCTGAGTTTGGGGGAAGTATGTTTGCTCTATGCTAAGAACCCTGTGTGACACTATGGTGACTCCCCTGACACTTCAAAGAGTGATATATACATACCACTCTTTGAGTCTGTGTGTGTGTGTATGTGTGTATATAGATATATATACACATGCATACATATAATATATATATAAAACTCTCAGAATTGTCAGAGGAGGCAGGAAATACAGGAGAATGGGCAGGACTTTACTTTCAGGGGAGTGAGGAGTGAAGAGTAAAGAGTTTTGGAAACATGAGACTGGATCTCAGGGGACAGGTGAGTACTAAGATAAGTATTTGGAAGTTATTTGGCTAATAAGTAGTAGTTGAAGCTTAAGGAAATAGATGACATTCCCGGGAATTGTGTAGAGGTACAAGAAAAATAAAATCTTTAAGCAACCATTATGTTCGGATAGCTGGGAGATGTAATCCCCGAAAGAAATGGAGTAGGAACAGTCAGGGAAGTCATAAAGGTAGAAAAAAATGGTGCTACAGAATCTAAGAAAACAAAAGGCTTCAGGAAGGAATGATGAACAGTACTAAATGATGAGAGTTCAAGTAGGATAAATATTCTAAAAGTTGACTGCATTTGTGATTGGATGCTTGCTAACCTTAAAAAAAATCCTAAAATAATATTACGTGAGCAGAGGAACCAATATACACAAAGGCATTTAGTCCTGAAAAGGCAGAGACCTTCTGAGGAATGAGATAGTACAGTGTGGAGTGAAATGCCAAGAGAAGGAGGAATTACGTAACACATATTCTTCTAAAAGCATTACATGTATTAGCTCATCAAATTATCATGGCAACGTTATGAGATAGAAGCATTATTGTCCACATTAGCATAGTGTTTTATATCCAGGTTCACATACCTATACATTCTGAATTCAAAGCTTGAGATTTTAAACCATTATGCTATATTGCTGAAGATACATGAAGGTCTTTATTTATTTTCACCATAAACATATGTTCATTGTACAATAAAAATATCGTTTAAAATGAGCCATTGAATTTAGTAGTTAGAAAATTACTGGTGATCTTAAGAAGAACAATTTCAGTATACAAACTAGCCATACTGTACTGAGTAGCAGAGGAGTAAATGGGAATTGAAAAATTAGAGATGGTGAATATAGATCAGTTATTCAAGAAATTTGATTGTGAAGGGAAAAGGGGACAGTTATTTAAGAAATTTCGTTGTGAAGAAAAATTTGATTGTGAAGAAATTCCTTTAGTTTAAATTTTAAATTCCCTGGAATACTGACATATTTTCAAAGAACTTTCTAAAACATTTGCTAATAATAATGATTTCAGATTTTTAAGGAGACTATGAATACCATCTTACGAAGTCTTATAAGTTGGTTTCCTTTAAGAGGATAACATTTCTCTTAAACTCAATAAAATAGGCTAATAGCCTCATGAAGATACATTTTGCCAAATTGATGGCAATTAAATATGAAATACAGTGGATCAAATATGAAAAGGAAAACCCGATAATACTTCATCTAGCTCTTACTGTTGGAAATCAGAAGAAAAAGGGATTTAACATTTAATTCTTTTAATGACATAGTTGTGCTTAAACTCTGATCCATGGATTAGTGCCATTCCATAAAAAAGTTTTCATCTGTCTATGGTTAAATGCAAAAACTAAGGAAGAGACAGTGAATTTTTCAGAGTTAAAGTTACTTTATTTATTAATTTTTATTATACTTTAGGTTCTAGGGTACATGTGCACAATGTGCAGGTTTGCTACATAGGTATACATGTGCCATATTGGTTTGCTGCACCCATCAACTCGTCATTTACATTAGGTATTTATCTTAATGCTATCCCTCTCCCAGACCCCCAGTCCCTGAGAGGTCCCGGTGTGTGATGTTCCCTACCCTGTGTCCAAGTGTTCTCATAGTTTGATTCACACCTACAAATGAAAGCATGTGGTGTTTGGTTTTCTGTCCTTGTGATAGTTAGCTGAGAATGATGGTTTCCAGCTTCACTGATCTCCCTGCAAAGTACATGAACTCATTCTTTTTTATGGCTGCATAGTATTCCATGGTGTATATGTGCCACATTTTCTTAATCCAGTCTATCATTGATGGGCACTTGGGTGGTTCCAAGTGTTTCCTATTGTGAATAGTGCCGCAATAAGCATATGTGTGCATGTATCTTTATCATAAAATGATTTATAATGCTTTGGGTATATATCCAGTAATGGGATGGCTGGGTCAAATGGTATTTCTAGTTCTAGATCCTTGAGGAATCGTCACACTGTCTTCCACCATGATTGAACTAATTTACACTCCCACCAGCAGTGTAAAAGCGTTCCTATTTCTCCACATCCTCTCCAGCTTCTGTTGTTTATTGACTTTTTAATGATCGCCATTCTAACTGGCATGAGATGGTTATCTCATTGTGGCTCTGATTTGCATTTCTCTGATGACCAGTGATGATGAGCATTTTTTCATATGTCTGTTGACTGCATAAATATCTTCTTTTGAGAAGGGTCTATTCATATCCTTGGCCCACTTTTTGATGGGGATGTTTGTTTTTTTCTTGTAATTGTTTAAGTTCCAATAAATTATGTACATTCTGGATATTAGCCCATTGTCAGATGGGTAGATTGCAAAAATTTTCTCCCATTCTGTAGGTTGCCTGTTCACTCTGATGATAGTTTCTTTTGCTGTGCAGAAGCTCTTTAGTTTAATTAGATCCCATTTGTCAATTTTGGTTTTTGTTGCCATTGCTTTTGGTGTTTTAGTCATGAAGTCTTTGCCCACGCCTACGTCCTGAATGGTATTGCCTAGGTTTTCTTCTAGAGTTTTTATGGTTTTAGGTCTTACATTTAAGTTTTTAATTCATCTTGAATTAATTTTTGTATAAGGTGTAAGGGAATCCAGTTTTAGTTTTCTTCATATGGCTAGCCAGTTTTCCCAGCACCATTTATTAAATAGGGAATCCTTTCCCCATTGCTTGTTTTTGTCAGGTTTGTCAAAGATCAGATGGTTGTAGATGTGCGGTGTTATTTCTGAGGGCTCTGTTCTGTTCCATTGATCTATACCTCTGTTTTGGTACCAGTACCATGCTGTTTTGGTTATAGTAGCCTAGCACTATTGTTTGAAGTCAGGTAGCATGATGTCTCCAGCTTTGTTGTTTTTGCTTAGGATTGTCTTGGCTATGGGCTCTTTTTTGGTTCCATATGAACTTTAAAGTAGTTTTTTCCAATTCTGTGAAGAAAGTTATTGGTAGCTTGATGGGAATGGCACTGAATCTATAAATTACCTTAGGCAGTATGGCCATTTTCACGATATTGATTATTCCTATCCGTGAGCATGGAATGTACTTCTATTTGTCTGTGTCCTCATTTATTTCATTGAGCAGTGGTTTGTAGCTCTCTTTGAAGGGGTCCTTCACATCCCTTGTAAGTTGGATTCACAGGTATTTTATTCTCTTTGTAGCAATTGTGAATGGGAATTCCCTCATGATTTGGCTGTTTGTCTGTTTTTGGTGTATAGGAATGCCTGTGATTTTTGCACATTGATTTTATATCCTGAGACTTTGCTGAAGTTGCTTATCATCTTAAAGAGGTTTTGGGCTGAGACAATGGGGTTTTCTAAATATACAATCATGTCATATGCAAACAGGGACAATTTGACTTCCTCTTTTCTTAATTGAATACCCTTTATTTCTTTCTCTTGCCTGATTCCTGGCCAGAACTTCCAATACTATGTTGAATAGGAGTGGTGAGAGAGAACATCCTTGTCTTGTGCCAGTCTTCAAAGGGAATGCTTCCAGTTTTTGCCCATTCAGTATGATATTGGCTGTGGGTTTGTCATAAATAGCTCTTATTACTTTGAGATATGTTCCATCAATATCCAGTTTATTGCATAAAGTTTTTAGCATAAAGGCTGTTGAATTTTGTCAAAGGCCTTTTCTGCATCTAATGAGATAATCATGTGGTTTTTGTCATTGGTTCTTTTTATGTGATGGATTACGTTTATTGATGTGCATATGTTGAACCAGGCTTGCATCCCAGGGATGAAGCTGACTTGATCATGGTGGATAAGCTTTTTGATGTGCTGCTGGATTTGGGTTGCCAGTATTTTATTGAGGATTTTCACAGCGATGTTCACCAGGGATATTGGTCTAAAATTATCTTTTTTGTTGTTGTGTCTCTGACAGGCTTTGGTATTAGGATGATGCTGGCCTCATGAAATGAGTTAGGGAGGATTCCTCCTTTTTCTATTGACTGGAATAGTTTCAGAAGGGATGGTACCAGCTCCTCTTTGTACCTTTGGTAGAATTCAGCTGTGAATCTGTCTGGTTCTGGACTTTTTTTGGTGGTAGGCTATTAATTATTGCCTCAATTTCAGAGCCTGTTATTGGTCTATTTAGAGGATCAACTTCCTCCTGGGTTAGTCTTGGGAGGGTGTATGTGTCCAGGAATTTATCCATTTCTTCTAGATTTTCTAGTTTATTTGTGTAGAGGTGTTTATAGTATTATCTGATGGTAGTTTGTATTTCTGTGGGATTGGTGGTGATATCCCCTTTGTCATTTTTTATTGTGTCTATTTGATTCTTCTCTCTCTTCTTTATTAGTCTGGCTAGCAGTCTATCAATTTTGTTGATCTTTTCAAAAAACCAGCTCCTGGATTCATTGATTTTTTGAAGGGTTTTTTGCGTCTCCATCTTCTTCAGTTCTGCTCTGATCTTAGTTATTTCTTACCTTGTGCTAGCTTTTGAATTTGTTTGCTCTTGCTTCTCAGTTCTTTTAATTGTGATGGTAGGGTGTCAATTTTAGATCTTTCTTGCTTTCTCTTGTGGGCATTTAGTGCTATAAATTTCCCTCTTAACACTGCTTTAATTGTGTCCCAGAGATTCTGGTATGTTGTGTCTTTGTTCTCATTGGTTTCAAAGAACATCTTTATTTCTGCCTTCATTTCGTTATTTACCCAGTAGTCATTCAGGAGCTGATTGTTCAGTTTCCACGTAGTTGTTCAGTTTTGAGTGAGTTTCTTAATCCTGAGTTCTAATTTGATTGCACTGTGGTCTGAGAGACAGTTTTTTGTGATTTCTATTCTTTTACATTTGCTGAGGAGTGCTTTACTTCCAATTATGTGGTCAGTTTTAGAATAAGTGTGATGTGGTGCTGAGAAGAAAGTATATTCTGTTGATTTGGGGTGGAGAGTTCTGTAGATGTCTATTAGGTCTGCTTGGTGCCGAGCTGAGTTCAAGTCCTGGATATCTTTGTTAACCTCCTCTCTCGTTGATCTGTCTAATATTGACAGTGGGGTGTTAAAGTCTCCCATTATCACTGTGTGGGAGTCTAAGTCTCTTTGTAGGTCTCCATGGACTTGTTTTATGAATCTGGGTGCTCCTGTATTGGGTGCATATATATTTAGGATAGTTAGCTCTTCTTGTTGAAGTGATCCCTTTACCATTATGTAATGGCCTTCTTTGTCTCTTTTGATCTTTGTTGGTTTAAAGTCTGTTTTATCAGAGACTAGGACTGCAAACCCTGCTTTTTTTGTTTTCCATTTGCTTGGTAGATCTTCCTCCATCCCTATATTTTAAGCCTATTTGTGCCTCTGCATGTAAGATGGGTCTTCTGAATACAGCACACTGATGGGTCTTGACTCTTTATCCAATTTGCCAGTCTGTGTCTTTTAATTGGGGCATTTAGCCCATTTCCATTTAAGGTTAATATTGTTATGAGTGAATTTGAACCTGTCGTTATGATGTTAGCTGGTTATTTTGCCCGTAAATTGATGCAGTTTTTTCCTAGCATCGATGGTCTTTACAATTTGGCATGTTTTTTGCAGTGGCTTGTTCCAATTGTTCCTTTCCATGTTTAGTGCTTCCTTCAGGAGCTCTTGTAAGGCAGGCCTGGTGGTGACAAAATCTCTCAACATTTGCTTGTCTGTAAAGGATTTTATTTCTCCTTCACTTATGGAGCTTAGTTTGGCTGGATATGAAATTCTGGGTTGAAAATTCTTTTCTTTAAGAATGTTGAATATTGGCCCCTACTCTCTTCTGGCTTGTAGGGTTTCTGCCGAGAAATCCACTGTTAGTCAGCTTCCCTTTCTGGGTAACCCGACCTTCCTGGCTACCCTTAACATTTTTTCCTTCATTTCAACCTTGGTGAATTTGACAATTATGTTTCATGGGTTTGCTCTTCTCAAGGAGTATCTTTGTGATGTTCTGTATATTTCCTGAATTTGAATGTTGGCCTGCCTTGCTAGGTGGGGGAATTTCTCCTGGATAATATCCTGAAGAGTGTTCTCCAACTTGGTTTCATTCTCCCCGTCACTTTCAGGTACACCAATCAAGATTTGGTCTTTTCACGTAATCCCATATTTCTTGGAGGCTTTGTTTGTTTCTTTTTACTTTTCTCTAATCTTGCCTTCTCACTTTATTTCATTAATTTGATCTTCAATCACTGATATCCTTTCTTGCACTTGATTGCATCGCCTATTGAAGCTTGTGCATGCATCATGAAGTTCTCCTGCCATGGTTTTCATCTCCATCAGGTCATTTAAGGTCTTCTCTACACTGTTTATTCTAGTTAGCCATTCATGTAACCTTTTTTCAAGGTTTTTAGCTTCCTTGTAATGGGTTTGAACATGCTCCTTTAGCTCAGAGAATTTTGTTATTACCGACCTTCTGAAGCCTACTTCTGCCAACTCATCAAAGTCATTCTGCATCTAGCTTTGTTCCATTGCTGGTGAGGAGCTGTGAGCCTTTGGCACAGAAGAGGTGCTCTGGTTTTTAGAATTTTCAGATTTTCTGCTCTGGTTTCTTCCCATCTTCATGGTTTTATCTACCTTTGGTCTTTGATGTTGGTGACCTACAGATGAGGTTTTGGTGTGGATGTGCTTTTTGCTGATGTTGATGCTATTCCTTTCTGTTTGTTAGTTTTTATTCTAACACTCTGGTCCCTCAGCTGCAGGTCTGTTGGAGTTTGCTGGAGGTCCACCCAAACCCTGTTTGCCTGGGTATCACCAGCAGAGGCTGTAGAACTGCACATATTGCAGAAGAGCAAATATTGCTGCCTGATCCTTCCTCTGGAAGCTTCGTCCTAGAGGGGCACTCGCTTGTATGAGGTGTCTGTCGGCCCCTACTGGGAGGTGTCTCCCAGTTAGACTACAGGGGTGTCAGGGACCCACTTGAGGAGGCAGTCTGTCCCTTCTCAGAGCTCAAATGCCATGCTGAGATAACCACTTCCCTCTTCAGAGCTGTCAGACAGGGACGTTTAAGTCTGCAGAAGTTGTCTGCTGCCTTTTGTTCAGCTATGTCCTGCCCTCAGAGATGGAGTCCATAGAGGCAGTAGGCCTTGCTGAGCTGCGGTGGGCTCCACCCAGTTTGAGCTGCCCAGCCACTCTGTTTACCTTCAAGCCTCAGCAATGGCAGACGCCCCTCCCCCTGCCAGGCTGCAGCCTCACAGGTGGATCTCAGACTGCCATGCTAGCAGTGAGCCATGCTCCATGGGCGTGGGACCCACCAAGCCAGGCATGAGAGAGAATCTCCTGGTCTGCAGGTTGGTAAGACTGTGGGAAAAGCACAGTATTTGGGTGGGAGTGTACCGATTTTCCAGGTACAGTCTGTCACGGCTTCCCTTGGCTAGGAAAAAGAAATCCCCCGACACCTTGTGCTTCCCAGGTGAGGTGACACCCTGCCCTGCTTTGGCTCACCCTCGGTGGGCTGCATGCACTGTCCAACCAGTCCCAACGAGATGAACCAGGTATCTCAGGTGGAAATACAGAAATCACCCATCTTCTGTGTCGATCAACACTGGGAGCTGCAGACTAGAGCTGTTCCTATTTGGTTATCTTGGCCATTCAGTAAAGTTATTTAATTTAAAACATTATCTGAGATGATATTATTTCTACTTCTTGGTGTATAAAAATTGTTTTTTTAAATGAAATGATGATGATAGTTGATGAGATCTAAAAAATAAAAGGTTGATAACACATCCGAAGATTTTTTGAAAATAGAATTGGTCTGTGGGAACCACTGTTTTAGGGAATTTTGGTCATGTATAGAAATTAATGGATTATATATAAAGAAAAATTTGAAATTTGTATGTATTTGTAGACTTTAAGCAAACAGAGCCAAATCAGATCCTGTCAAAAGTTACTGATTGTGATTTATAATGAAATGAGATCTACCTATACATCATAGTGTTCTTAGAATATTAACGTACATTGTGAATAACTGCATATAGTTTCTGACTGAATATAAACCCCATCTTTAAACTTACAAATATATATAATACCTACATAAATCAAAAGTTTCAAGGTACATGGCTAGTAAAGATTAAAATGCACAATTTCTAAACTGTTTTAAAATGGTCTAATTTAAAACTACTGACTTACATAACTTTGGCTATTAATCAAAATATAACTTCAGGGATATTGAGGAAATGGTCAAGATGACATTTTCAAATAAGAAGTAGTGGGAAGTAAGAAACCTTGATGTGAGCACTGCTTCACAGTGTAAAACTGACATAAAAATTGTTAAGGAAAAAGGTATATCTTTGAAATTGAAGGTGACTAGATATGTGAATGCTGTAGTGCTGTTAACAATACATAAAGAAGGTTAAAATATATTCTATTACATGTGTTCTATGTATTCTATTACAGTGGTTCTATTACATTAAAGGTGTCTCAGAAAATTCTGCTACAATGTTCAAGTCCATTAAATTAACAAGTGACTTCTTTGCCTGGTAAGCTGTTTGTTAACATTTTGCTAGCTGTCAAAAGGACTGACAGATTATGCAGCTTTATTTAAATTCTAATAAAAATGCAAAGATCATTCAAAATAAACATATATAATTATGCACTGTGAAAAGCAGTATTGAATACTTCAGAAGAACAACACAAGAAAATTAATTTCACCCTACTGGTTTTTATGCACCTACAAGTCTCAGGTTGCAATGTCACAGATGATCTCAACTCAAGCAGGATTATTGTAAAGCTAAATTAGTTCAGGTGGTAACTTGACTGCCTCTTCCCCTTGCTAATAACTTTGCCTATTAACTTGTGACTGTGAAATGATTTAAATAGTATGGCCTCCATGAACTGATGATCAGTTATTAAATAAAAATGGTTTGCCCTACAGGGTAACAATGGTTCCCAAGAAAATGACTTTTTTGACCCCAAATATGGCATATGGTATCCAATCTAAAAAAGTTCACTGGGTTAATTCTACTTTTGTTCTAAACTATTAACATGATCAATAACTACATATTGTTTAGTTCCCAAAAGAAAGTGTTTTGTTTTGTTTCATGTGTTTGAAGTATTATTACAAGATCATTTAACTTACTTTTGAACTTTTTCATTGGCCACTTGGGAGGCCTCTCTGGCATGTTGAAGTTGTAATTCCATATTTGCTCGCTCTGTCAGAGCTTGTTGCAGTTGAGTAGCCAGTTCCTCATTTTGTTGTTGAGTGATGGAAACAATGTTCTCTCTGTTTTTTAAAGCTTCTTCATATGTACTAAGGGTATAGTTAAACTGATCCTTCAGATTTTCTTCTTGAGATAAAGATTTGTGTAAACTGAGAAAATATTAAAAAAAATTTAAAGATAAGTAATGTAAACTGAGTGATCTATGATCTATTTAACAAAAACCTCCATTTAGAATCTCTAGTTCTAAAAATCAATAAATACTTAAATGAGCAAATGAAAATAATTTTTATGTCACAACATTATAATTGATAATTTCTCTGCTTCTAGGCTGAAAGCTACCCAGACAAATGATTATGCTACCAAAGCATACAAAAAGATGCTGCAAGATGTTAATTTAATTATATCAGTGTAAATATTACATTCAATTTTCTTTAAAAGGAATAGCAGAGAACTGGAAAATAAAGTATCTCTAGGCAAATAAAAGAATGTAATAAGCTGAAAGAAGTGAGAAGAGAATGGGCATTGGTTTAGGAGATCGAGGGTCTATTCTGCCAAGCACTTAATGAGAATGGATGAGGTTTATGCAAACACTGACCAGCCTTCTACATAGCATTTTCTACTTGATCTTCTACTTGTCACAGTTGAGATATAAATGAATTTAAAATCACTAGTCAGATTGCACAGAAATAAAATGTATTCATATATACATGTGTATATTTTTTTTTGGCTAATGAATCTCTTAACGAATACATCTACTCATTAAGTCATACAGAGAAATAGCATATAAATTAAGACTAAATGAATGCAGAAGAAAATGCAGACAAATAGAATCCTAAAATGCTAAAGGTCAAATCTTTGATATGTCATTACACCTACCACCTGAGGTTATTTTGAAATGGCACCAAGCACCTCACTCAATTAAATAAAGACATTTTGAAAATATAAATATTTAATAAGAGAAATTTAAACTCCACACAGGAGATGTTCTTTTTTATTAAATATCATTTCAGTATATGCATACAAAGGAAATGTCGATTGGAGACATTTGAAGTAAAACAACTTAACTATATAATATAGATTGATAATGGGAAGGAAAGCAATATCATTATTAAACCTGCAAAAAGCTAGTTAGTGAACTTTGGCATTGTCCTAATATCTAGCCTGATACTTTCTTTAAAACTGTTCAAAGTAATTATAAATTTCCTCTTTTAGTTTAAGTTATCTATAAGCCTTTACAGTATGCTTATTTTGGAGAAGGCGTCCCATAGAACTAGGATGGATATGAAACAAGGACAGTCAGCATACCAAATGAAACCACTTCAGGATTCAAACCCCTAAGAATACGGACTGTTACTAAGCGCTGGTCAACTGGTTACTACACAGAAAATTAGAATAGTGTGTAGTGCCACATTTGTAGAGTGCAAAAAATACCTTTTTTCATGGTTTGCACATTGTTATTAATCTAACTATCCCTACTTCATTTCTTCTCAGATTTTTCTACCAACCCATATGCTTAAAGGCTGTCTCTTGCCCATTTTACTATTTTTTCTGTGTCCTCTCACTTTCTGCATTCTTGTCTGTTCCAAGTTCCAATTTTCTTCAGCTCACCCTCTTTATCTCCATGAAAGATGCAAGAAAGAAAGAAAGAAAAGAAGAAACAAACTAAAAGCTAAACCTTAAAAAAGGTACTTGTTTATGTTCTTTATATTTAAAACATTAGTTATATTTTAATTGTTAATTACGTTTTAAATTACACAAAGTGCATATATACAAAGTATTCAGCTTGAAAAAATGTGAAGAACAAAATACAGAACAAATGCAGAAATCTAGAAGACCCCCCAGTGTTCCCTCCCATTTTTTCCCCTCCCCAAAAGGTAAGTACTAATCCAACCTTTATCAAAATGTAAATTGCCTATTTTTAAACTTTTTGTCTGGCTTATTTTCCTCAACAATTGGTAAGTGAAGTTCACCTTGCTGTTGCATATAATTCATTGCTTTTTATTGCTATAAAATATTCTGTTATATACATATGCCGTAACTTATTTAACTGTCCACAGTTGTTGCTATGGATATTCCTGTACATGTCTTTTGATGGACCTAGGTATTCATGTGTAAAGTAGAATTTCTCCAAAGGGTATGCATTATTTTCAGATTTAGTACAATGATAATAGATGCTGATTTAGATTTAGATGCTGCTAATAGTCTTCCAAATTAGTTGTACCAATTTGTACTCCCATCAGCAAAATATGAGTTTCAATTGCTTTATATCCTCCCTCAGAATGGCACTGTCAAATGCTTTTAACTTTAGTTATTGTAATATGGATGCAGTGATGTTTCATTCTCTTCGTATTGTCTTATGTATGTGTATATTATTGATTGGTTGAGACAAGTTCTCACTATGTTTTCCAGGCTGACCTTGAACTCCTGGGCTCAAACAGTCCTCCTGCCTCAGCCTGCTGAGTAGCTCGGACTATGGGCATATGCCACCATGCCTGACTCTTAATGCTGTCTTTTGATGAAGGTAAGTTCTCAATTTAAATAAAGTTCAATTTATCATTGTTTCTTTAATGGCAATGCTTTTTGTAAACTGTTTAAAAAATCTTAGCCTACTCCATTCCCTTATATTTTAACTTTACATATATGGCCTAATTTAAAACTCAGTGAGACAGCTTCGTTTGGGAATTCAGCATTTGCCTATCATGCCTAAAGCAGTAACCAGTATACCGTAACCAATTACATATTAAGAATCAATGATTAGATCCCATTTGTCAATTTTGTCTTTTGTTGCCATTGCTTTTGGTGTTTTAGACATGAAGTCCTTGCCCATGCCTATGTCCTGAATGGTGATGCCTAGGTTTTCTTCTAGGGTTTTTATGGTTTTAGGTCTACCGTTTAAGTCTTTAATCCATCTTGAATTGATTTTTGTATAAGGTGTAAGGAAGGGATCCAGTTTCAGCTTTCTACATATGGCTAGCCAGTTTTCCCAGCACCATTTATTAAATAGGGAATCCTTTCCCCATTGCCTGTTTTTCTCAGGTTTGTCAAAGATCAGATCTATGCGGTGTTATTTCTGAGGGCTCTGTTCTGTTCCATTGATCTATATCTCTGTTTTGGTACCAGTACCATGCTGTTTTGGTTACTGTAGCCTTGTAGTATAGTTTGAAGTCAGGTAGTGTGATGCCTCCAGCTTTGTTCTTTTGGCTTAGGATTGACTTGGCGATGCAGACTCTTTTTTGGTTCCATACGAACTTTAAAGTAGTTTTTTCCAATTCTGTGAAGAAAGTCATTGGTAGCTTGATGGGGATGGCATTGAATCTGTAAATTACCTTGGGCAGTATGGCCATTTTCACGATATTGATTATTCCTACCCATGAGCATGGAATGTTCTTCCATTTGTTTGTATCCTCTTTTATTTCATTGAGCAGTGGTTTGTAGTTCTCCTTGAAGAGGTCCTTCACATCCCTTGTAAGTTGGATTCCTAGGTATTTTATTCTCTTTGAAGCAATTGTGAATGGGAGTTCACTCATGATTTGGCTCTCTGTTTGTCTGTTATTGGTGTATAAGAATGCTTGTGATTTTTGTACATTGATTTTGTATCCTGAGACTTTGCTGAAGTTGCTTATCAGCTTAAGGAGGTTTTGGGCTGAGACAATGGGGTTTTCTAGATATACAATCATGTCGTCTGCAAACAGGGACAATTTGACTTCCTCTTTTCCTAATTGAATACCCTTTATTTCCTTCTTCTGCCTAATTGCCCTGGCCAGAACTTCCAACACTATGTTGAATAGGAGTGGTGAGAGAGGGCATCCCTGTCTTGTGCCAGTTTTCAAAGGGAATGCTTCCAGTTTTTGCCCATTCAGTATGATATTGGCTGTGGGTTTGTCATAGATAGCTCTTATTATTTTGAAATACGTCCCAACAATACCTAATTAAAGAGCTTCTGCACAGCAAAAGAAACTACCATCAGAGTGAACAGGCAACCTACAAAATGGGATAAAATTTTCACAACCTACTCATCTGACAAAGGGCTAATATCCAGAATCTACAATGAACTCAAACAAATTTACAAGAAAAAAACAAACAACCCCATCAAAAAGTGGGCGAAGGACATGAACAGACACTTCTCAAAAGAAGACATTTATGCAGCCAAAAAACACATGAAAAAATGCTCATCATCACTGGCCATCAGAGAAATGCAAATCAAAACCACAATGAGATACCATCTCACACCAGTTAGAATGGCAATCATTAAAAAGTTAGGAAACAGGTGCTGGAGAGGATGTGGAGAAATAGGAACACTTTTACACTGTTGGTGGGACTGTAAACTAGTTCAACCATTGTGGAAGACAGTGTGGCGATTCCTCAGGGATCTAGAACTAGAAATACCATTTGACCCAGCCATCCCATTACTGGGTATATACCCAAAGGACTATAAATCATGCTGCTATAAAGACACATGCACACGTATGTTTATTGTGGCACTATTCACAATAGCAAAGACTTGGAACCAACCCAAATGTCCAACAATGATAGACTGGATTAAGAAAATGTGGCACATATACACCATGGGATACTATGCAGCCATAAAAAAGGATGAGTTCATGTCCTTTGTAGGGACATGGATGAAATTGGAAATCATCATTCTCAGTAAACTATCGCAAGAACAAAAAACCAAACACCGCATAGTCTCACTCATAGGTGGGAATTGAACAATGAGATCACATGGACACAGGAAGGGGAACATCACACTCTGGGGACTGTGGTGGGGTGGGGGGAGGGGGGAGGGATAGCATTGGGAGATATACCTAATGCTAGATGACGAGTTAGTGGGTGCAGCGCACCAGCATGGCACATGTATACATATGTAACTAACCTGCACAATGTGCCATGTACCCTAAAACTTAAAGTATAATAAAAAAAATATTAAAAAAAAAAAAAAGAAAAATTACCTAGAAAAAAAAAGAATCAATGATTAAGTTTTAAAAGTCTCACCATTATGAAAATTATGAGCATCCTGATTTAATTTCCTAATCACTCCTCACTTTCTAGTCTTCTATCATTTAATTTTTAGGGGGCAAATTTATACCTGATTTTGATTTTTCTCTCAGATGGACATGTTTGGATTGTACCCGCAAGTTCAAAAGCTGCTTAGCATTCAAAATACCTTGGAAACCTGTTAATTACCATCAAGGCTTTCCCAAGCAATGGACATGATCTTTTTAAAAAGATGGAAGTAGACAATGTCACTTAAAAACCTGCAATAGCATGTCCTTGCATTCAGAAAACAGTCTTTAAAAATAATAAATGCTATATGTTAACTCACTAAATGTCACAACTTGCATGAGAAGTCTTATTAATATTCCTTTTTTTACTGATACAAATGGAAACAGAGATAAGTAATTTAATACATGTAGCAGAGCCAGAATTTGAACCTACAGTCTTTATGTCTGCACTGGAAACCTCTTCTATACTTGCTGTGGTCTATAAAGCCCTGCATCACTGACCTCTCTACCTCCTTCCTCACCTTTTAGCTAGGCATTCAGATTCTCAAGCGTGTCAAGTTTTTTCTGCTGAAGGTATTTGTTTGGAATGCCTTTCCACCCATGCTTCTACCTGACAAAGTCTTACTTATCCAGTAAGACAAAGCAAAAATATCACTTTCTTAGATACACCTACGTGGGTCTTCAATCTAAATCTTGATTTTCCTCTTTGTTAGTCTGTCTCATAGATCCTACTCTTCCTTCTCAGAACTTGTAATTTGTAGTTTTTTTCCATTTCATCTTGTGGTTTTCTTCCCAATTCTAACATATTAATACTTCATTTATATATAGCAATTTTATTTTATGGGAAGAATACATTCCTTAAGAACTTCAGTAAATCAAAACATCTATAATTCTAAGGAATTTTCCAATAGGAATAAAGGTGAAGCAGGAGAGCTATATTCCAAGCATTTATAAATCTGTAACCACTGAAGCACAATTTTTGCTTTAGTACTTCTTCCTCAGAATGGTCTTTCCTTAACTGACAACAAGGCCCGCTTGTTTAGCTTTCTTCACAAAGACATATTACATTTACCCTCTTTCCAAAGTTACTAATTTTCAGGTGCATTTTCAGCGTAGTAGTAGTATTATAACTCCTCAAAGGCACTTAAGTTGTATAGGAACATATTTTAAGTTACAGTAAGCATAAATGATGAAATAACAGCCAAAGAGTCACTGAATCACTCTCAGAAATTCTAAAGCATGTAATCAATAGTGCAACTTACACAATATCCACATAGGATGTTAACTATTTCTGTTAACCAGGAAGCTAATGAGGTAATAAGATAAGCAAAGTTTAAATTCGCTCTTCCAGTTTTAAAATTATATAATTCTTTATAAATTTAAGTTTTATAATTTAGTGTAGAAAGTAAAACTTTAAAAATATTTTTACTTACTAATGTTTGATATGATCATATTTCTAATTCACATCAAATAAGCCTGCACATTATCTCCTTTGTTGCTCACCACATTGAGTCCAATGGCAGGCCAAGGTAGAAAATGTCCTTAATGTGTATTACTCCAGTGAGTGCCATGTAATAGATTTCCTGTCTGAAGTGGTTTCTGTCTTGGTTTCTACGTTCCCTGGTCTATTACTTTATGTCTGTGGCCCTGACTATTTTCCTGGTCCCTGACTCTCTATGCCACCTCAGCTTAATGTAACTTGGAATTATAAGGTTTATGAGCCACTTATATGTTTTGCTTGCAGATATTTATATTCTCTTCAACTTGTCTGCCTACCTGTTCATTGAACTCTATCTTAATTGTAATGTTAAACATGGATTAAGCTTACTTTTGCAATTAGTATTTTTCCATTTATACCAAGTTTTGATGCTACTTTTCCTGACTTCCTCTCTTGTCTCCATGATCAGGTATTGGCCAAGTCCTTACAGAAATCATTTTACTCATCATCCTACAATATGCACTTATTATTCTGTTTATGCTTCATTTATTTTACAGTAATTGCTCAATCATTAGTGTGTTGTATATATGCTATTTATTTTAATTGGATAAATATTTTTGGATTAAAATTTAGAGATGAGGTACAACAATATAGATCAGTAGGTAGGTCTTAACCAGGGGTAATTTTGTTCTTCAGAGGACATTCTGCAACATCTGAAGACATTTTTGTCACAACTGGTGGGGGTGGCGGGGAGGGTGAGATGGTACTAGCATTTAGTGAATAGAAGCTAAAGATGCTGCTAAACAGAGGATAGATTCCTACAACAGAGAATTATCCAGACCACTATGTCAACAATGCTGAAACTGGTGTAGATGAAGAGATGTTGGGTTGAACTTAGAAGATAAAGATTCAAATTTCAGTCTTGTCATTCACTCTGAGTGACATTGGAAAAAAAAACTTACCTACTGAATATTAATTTCAACTCGAAAACTATGAGAAAAATATCATGGAAATCATATGAGAATGAAATGAGGTGATCTACATATGTGAAAATAACTGGCACAATACCTGCCAAAGAATACGCATTCATATCTGTATAATTTTTAAAAGGAGTTACTTATATCTAATTAACTTTGTACAAAAATGTTACACAATACTCAAGTATTTTATAAACATTTTACTGAGAAAAACAACTGCCTGTTCCTACAGGTTTTTCATGAATTGGGAGAAGGAAACTAGTTTTCTCAACCTTTGTTCACTTACTGATAACATTCTTAAATCATTCTTTTTTAAAAAATGGGCAGGTTTGGCTTGTTTTACTGAATTAAAATAAATAAAACCTAAGCAAATATGAAATGTAGAAGTATGTGCTGCTTTTTCCTAAGAATACATTTCTGAAAGGATAATGTCTACTTTTATTTCCTGGTTTACTACATCAATTAATTTGCTAAGACCCTTTCAAGAAGATAGCTGAAGCTGAGCATGGTGGCTCATGCTTGTAATATCAGCACTTTGGGAGGCCAAGGCAGAAGGATTAGACAAGGAGTTCTAGACCAGCCTGAGCAACACAGTGAGACCCCATCTTAAATATTATTTTTAATTGAAAAAAGAAAATCACTAACTTGCTCACTTATTTTTAAGGAAATCAGCATATGCTCCAGTATAATAGGCCTTAATTCTGAATGACATACAGAGAGAGGGAAATATATTCAGAATGGATAAGAGTGTGTATGAGGAAATTTAATCTGCAAATCAGACAGTCTAGTAACTTCAATGATTTGCTTCCACTGTTGCTGCAGTTGGTTTAGTTTAATAAAATAACCTGCTAAAGTACTTTCAGAGAAAAAATAATTTCTTTATTATAAAGTAAGTCAATTAATACTGAACTTAAAATTTCAAGAATTTTAAACTGGATAAGTTGTCAATATATTTATTAATATTTATTACAAGTTTTCTGGATGCTACATTTCACAATATAAATTGGGTTTCACTAAATATCTGTTGAATTCATGTTTAGAAATGTAACAACCTATACAAATAATTCTAAGGAAGCATTAAAAAATATCTAAATTTTTGGAGGTTTTTTTGAGACAGAGTCTTGCTCTTTCACCTAGGCTGGAGTGCAGTGGCATGATCTCAGCTCACTGCAACCTTCACCTCTGGGGTTCAAGCGATTCTACTACCTCAGCCTCCTGAGTAGCTGAGACTACAGGCACATGCCACCACACCCAGCTAATTTTTGTATTTTTGGTAAAGGCGGAGTTTCGCCATGTTGCACAAGATGATCTTGATCTCCTGATCTCAAGTGATCCACTTACCTCGGCCTCTCAAAGTGCTGGGATTACAGGCCTGAGCCATTGCGCCTGGCCAGAAATATCCAACTATTAAATATACTACAGTACCTGGAATTAATGTAGGGCCAGCTCCTGATTATCTAAGAGTATACTGTGTGCTTCATAAATTTGGTGATGTGGGAAGCAGAGTGGTAGGACATTATACTCACAAAGCCACTTATATTTATATACCACTGTATAGTTCTCAGGCAACAAAGTTTATCTTGAATTTTGTCATATAACACATAAATATAATTGTATGGGCATCACTAAAATGAAAAATTTATACTGTCAAATTTAATAGAAGGGAGACTTCTGCTTTTGAGGAGATGGAAGAAATAGAAGATGCAATTAAGAAACAAATGGAGGATTTGCTGGCAAGATGGCCAAATAGGAACAGCTCCAGGCTGCAGCTCCCAGTGAGATCAACGCAGAAGGCAGGTGATTTCTGCATTTCCTACTGAGGTACCTGGTTCATCTCATTGGGACTGACTGGACAGTGGGTGCAGCCCATGGAGGTGAGCTGAAGCAGGGTGGGATGTTGCCTCATCTGGGAAGTGTTAAGGGGTCAGGAAATTCTCTTCCCTACCCAAGGGAAGCTGTGAGGGACTGAGCCTGAATAACCGTGCATTCTGGCCCAGATACTGAGGTTTTCCCATAGTCTTCGCTACCCACAGACCAAGAGATTCCCTCTGGTGCCTACGCCACCAAGGTCCTGGGTTTTAAGCACAAAACTGGGTGGCCGTTTGGGCAGACACCGAGCTAGCTGCAGGAGTTTTTTT